>NC_000003.12:170069210-170220725 GCF_000001405.40 Homo sapiens
GAAGAGATCTGGGGACCTAACTGCTTATTTCATTTGCAACGAATCTATCTGTTTTTATCCCCATCTTTGCATCCCTTTCTGAAGACACTTGGGTCAGCCACTCTTGAGATTTTTGAGGGTCCTGAGGTATAAATTGGGTTGCGACTCTGCTTTCTCCACTGCTAGCTTCAGTCTGTATTCACTGTATGTGATTCACCTGAGGATTTATTAAAACTGCAGATTGGTTTCATAGATCTGAGCTGGAGCCTGAGGGTCTATGTGAATAGCAGTCTCCTAGGTGATGCTTGGACCACACTTTGTGTAGATGGGGCTCACTCATTTACCGTCCATCTGTTCATTTTCCAGCCTCTGAAATTTTGTCCTTGGAGATTTGTACATTTTTTTTAAAGTTATGAAAATTTTCAAACATACATACAAATAGTTAGAACAGCCATTAACCAGTGGTCGATCCTGCCCCATCTATACTTTCATCCACTCGACCCCCAGCACACACACTGCATTATGTTGGCGCAAATTCCAGACAACCTATTTCATCTGTAAATATTTTAGTATGTATTATTTTAAATAGTGAGATTTAAATATAACCACACATATTAATTTGTTAGGGCTGCCATAACAAACCACCACAGGCTGGGTGGCTGAAACAACAGCTCTGGGGGCTGAAAGGGTGAGATCGAGGTGTCCCAGGGGCGGTTTCTCCTGGGGCCTTTTGCAGCCTGTAGATGGCTGTCTTCTCGCTGTGCCCTCCCACAGCCTTTTCTCTGTGTACCAGCATCCCTAGTATCATGTGTGTGTGTCCAAATTACCTCTTTAAAGGTCCTATCTCCAAATATAGTCACATTTGGAGGTGCTGGGAGTTAAAGGCTTCAACATATGAATTTGGGGGGATATAATTCAGCCCATCATACCATAATTTCCCATTGTCTTATATATGTAATTCTTTGTTGCCATGAATTCAGATAAATTCTACACATTGCACTTAGTTGATATATCCTAAGTCTTAATTTTTGTATTGTTGTTGAAACAATTTATTGAAGTAACAAATTGTAATCCTATAGAGCATACCACCATGTGGATTTTCTTTACTGCATCCTGTGGGGTCATTAAATAAGTTATTGTCCTCTTTCTTGAACATCAGTAGTTGAATCTACAGGTTTGGTCGGGTTCTAATTTTTTGGCAAGCCCACTTTGTAGATAGCAAGGTACTCTTCAATTTCCACCTTTCAGTATTAGTATTGATGATCTTTGGCTACCTCCATTTAGTACATCAGAGGTGGCAAATTGGGCAGTTTCCAAATTTTATCATTCCTTATTCACTCATATTAGCTAGAGTACTTCCAAAAAAAGTAAACATCACCTCACTTACTATTCTGTCACCAGGTGGTACAGTTAGCACAGGAACGGCAGGAGAAAGGCTTCTTGGCCAGTACTTAAGTTTAACAACTAGAGACTAGGTTCTCTAGTGTTCCTCAGCATCACAATGAGGTTTTCTTATTCATTTTAGAATCTGGTAAAACTTGATTTACTGTTATGTTAGTGGAGTTATGAGAAGGAACATTTGTTTAAAGAAGGCACTGTTCATTGGAAGTTATAATTTATGTAGCCAATTTCCTGCTATTGGAGATTTACATTAATTCCAGGTTTTTACTTTTATATTTAATGCTGTGAGATGAATATTCTTTAAAAATAAGTTAAAACACTCATTTTTAGTGTATAATTTGAATTTTGAAAAATGTATATACTTGGACCCCAATCCAGATGTAGAACATTTTCATCTCTACAGAACATTGCCTGGTTCACCTTTGCCCCAGCCTGGCTTCAGATTTCTACCGATAGTCTCTCTGGCCATAGGGATTCGTTTTTCTGTTGTGAATCCCATATAATTGAACCACACACTCTATACCCTTTATTGCTAGGCTCTTTTTGTTCGGCATGTGATATGGTTTAGATATGTGTCCCCTCCAAATCTCATGTTAAAATGTGCTCTCCCATGTTGGAGATGGGGCCTGTTAGGAGGTATCTGGATCATGGGGGCAGATCCCTCATGAACGGCTTGGCACCGTCCCCTTGGTGGTAAGTGAGCTCTCCCTATGAGTTCACGCAAGAGCTGGTCATTTAAAAGCATGTGGGGCCTCCCCCTTCTCTCTGGCTCCTGCTCTCGCCATGTGAGATGCCTGTTCCCCTTTTGCCTTCCGCCATGGTTGTAAACTTCCTGAGGCCTCACCAGAAGCCGAGCAGATGCCAGCGCCATGCTTCCTGTGTAGCCTGCAGAACTCTTGAGCCCAATAAACCTCTTTATAGGCCAGGCACAGTGGCTGACGCCTGTAATCCCAGCACTTTGGGAGGCTGAGGTGGGTGGATCACTTGAGGTCAGGAATTCAAGACCAGCTAGCCAACATGGCAAAACCCCGTCTCTACTAAAAATACAAAAAAAAATTAGCCGGGCATGGTGGTACATGCCTGTAGTCCCAGCTACTCGGGAGGCTGAGGTAGGAGAATCGCACAAACTCAGAAGGCAGAGATGGCAGTGAGCTGAGATCACGCCACTGCACTCCAGCCTGGGCAACAGAGCAAGACTCTGTATCACCAACAGAAATACCTCTTTATAAATTAATTACCCAGCCTCAGGTATTTCTGTATAGCAACAGAAGAATGGCCTAACATAACATGTTTTTGAGGCTTTTTTTTTGAGGCTTTTCCCTGTGTGGAGCATATATTAATTTTTGTTGCTGAGAAGTATTCCATTGCCTAGATTTACTACAATTTGTTTATCCATTTTCCTGTGGATGGATATTTGGGATATTTCCACTCTGGGGCCATTGGTGAATAAAGCTCCTACATATATTTGTATACAAGCTTTTTTTTTTTTTTTTTTTTTTTGTGAGGCAGATTCTCGCTTTGTCACCCAGGCTGGAGTGCAGTGGCATGATTGTGGCTCATTGCAACCTCCACTTCCCGGGTTCAAGCGATTCTCCTTCCTCAGCCTCCCAAGTAGCTGGGACTACAGGTGTCTGCCACCATGCCCAGCTAACTTTTGTATTTTTAGTAGATATGGGGTTTCACCAGTTTGGCCAGGCTTGTCTTGAACTCCTGACCTCAAGTGATCCACCTGCCTCAGCCTTCCAATGTGCTGGGATTCCAGGCATGAACCACCGTGCCCGGCCTCTACTGACAACTGAATTTCAGACTTCTGGCCTCCTGAATGTGAGAGATTAAATTTCCGTTGTTTCTTTAAGTTGTGTTAGTCTGTTTTGTGTCATTATAAAGCATACCTGAGACTGGGTAATTTATAAAGAAAAGAGGTTTATTTGGCTCATGGTTCTACAGACTGTACAGGAAGCAGGGCACCAGCATCTGCTTCTGTTGAGGCCTCAGGAAGCTTCCAGTCATGGTGGAAGGCAGAGGGGGAGCAGGTGTGTCACATGGTGAGACAGGGAGCAATGGGAAGAGAAGGGAAGTCCCAGACTCTTTTTAACCAGCCAGCTCTCTTGTAAACAAATAAGAGTGAGGACTTACTCATTACTGTGGGGAGGGCACCAAGTCATTCATGAGGGATCCACCCCCATGACCCAAACACCTCCCACTAGGCTCCACCTTCAGCATTGGAGATCACATTTCAACATGAGATTCAAAGGGGACAAACATCCAAATAATATCATGAGCCATTCAGTTTAAATTTACCACCAGTCAACTGGGCATGGTAGCTCATGCTTGTAATTCCAGCAATTTAGGAGGCCAAGGCAGGAGGAATGCTTGAAGCCAGGAGTTTGAGACCAACCTGGACAACGAAACGAGACCCCATCTCTACAAATAAAAAATTTTAAAAACTTAGCCAAGCATGGTGGCATGAGCCTGTGGTCCCAGCTACTTGGGAGGCTAAGGCAGGAGCATTACTTAAGCCTGGGAGTTCAAGTTTACAGTGAGCTTTGATTGCACCACAGCACTCCAGCCTGGGCAACAGAGCAAGATTCTCTTACCAAAAAAAAAAAGAAAAAATTATTGCCTATTATAATTTGTTGTGACAGCCCTAGGAAGCTAATATATCTACCCAGGATTGCAAACGATTTCTTCTGTTTTCTTCTAGAAATTTTAGTTTTATTTCTACATTTAGTCATATGATCCTTTTTTAGTTTATTTTTGTGTATGGTGTAAGGTAAGAGTGAAAGTTCATTTTCCCCCATATGGATATCCACTTTCAGCACCATGAGATTGATCTTGGTTTTTCATAGAGACTTCTTATCTAGTTAGGGACGTGACCTTCTATTGTTTGTTTTTATCATATTAGATTTTATTAAATGCTGCATCTGCGTCTCTTCAGGTGATCTTATAGTCTTTCTCCTTTATTCTGTTAATGTGGTGAATTACATTGATTGACTTTCTAATGTTAAAATAAGTTTCCATTGGCCATGATGTATTGATGGATTCAGTTTGCTAATAATTTGTTAACAATTTCTGCTTCCATGTTCATGAGGGATGATGATCTATATTAGTTTTCTTGAAATGTCTTTGGTATCAAGGTAATTCTAGTCCTTGTGAAATGAGTTGGGAGGTACTCTTTAAGTTTGGTATTTTTTCCCTAAATGCTTGATAGAATCCATCAATGAAGACATCTGAGCCTATATTTTCTTTGTGGGTAGGTTTTAAATACAGAATCAGTTTCTTTAATAGGGATTTTTTTTTTTTTTTTTTTTTTTTTGAGATGGAGTCTTACTGTGTCACCCAGGCTGGAGTGCAGTGGCACAATCTCGGCTCACTGCAAGCTCCGCCTCCTGGGTTCAAGTGATTCTCCTGCCTCAGTCTCTGGAGCAGCAGGGACTACAGGCCAAGCCACCATGCCCGGCTAATTTTTGAATTTTTAGTAGAGACGGGGGTTTCACCATATTGGCCAGGATGGGCTTGAACTCCTGACCTTAGGTGATCCGCTGGCCTCAGCCTCCCAAAGTGCTGGGATTACAGGCATGAGCCACCACACTGGGCCAGTTTCTTTAATAGAGCTATTTAGGGATCTTTTGGACGGAGTTTCGGTAGTGTCTTTCCAGAAATTTGTTTCATCATACAAATTTATCGAAATAAAGTTGTTCAAAATAGTTCCTTATTCTTTTAATGTTTCTAGGTACTCACTTTCCCAATTTTGGTAATTTCTTTCTTAATTTGGCTAGAGGTTTATTAATTTTATTGGTTCTTTTTTTCCCCTAAAGAAGCAGTTTTGTATCGATTTTCTTTCTGTTGTTTTGGGGTTGTTGTTGTTGTTTTTGTTTTGATTGATTTCCTTTGCTTATTTATTTATTTGAGACAGGGTCTTCTTCTGTCTCCCAGGCTGGAGTGTAGTGGCACAATCTTGGCTCACCACAACCTCCACCTCCTGGGCTCAAGCGATCCTCCCACCTCAGCCTCCCAAGTAGCTAGGACCACAGGTGCCCACCACCACACCCAGCTAAGTTTTATACTTTTTGATAGAGATGAGGTTTTGCCGTGTTGCCCAGGCTGGTCTCAAACTCCTGGGATCAAGTGATCCTCCTGCCTCGGCCTCTCAAAGTGCTGGGATTACAGGCATGAGCCACCATGCCTGGCCTTATTTTTGTTTGTTTTAATTTCATTGATTTCTGCTTTTTTTTTAATCTTCCCTTTAACCTACTTTGGGTTTAATTTGCTTTTTTCCTTAAAGTTTAAATTTAGGTTATTGAATTGAGCCCTTCTTTTTGAAAACAGGCAAATATAAGAATATCAGAAGAGGGCCGGGTGCAGTGGCTCACACCTGTAATCCCAGCACTTTGGGAGGCCAAGGTGGGCAGATCACTTTAAGTCAGGAATTCGAGACTAGCCTGGCCAACATGGTGGAAACCCCATCTCTACTAAGAATAACAAAAATTAGCCAGGCATGGTGGTGTGTGCCTGTAATCCCTGCTACTTAGCAGGCTGAGGCAGGAGAATCACTTGAGCCCAAGAGGCGGAGGTTACAGTGAGGCGAGTTTGTGCCATTGCACTCCAGCCTGGGCAACAAGAGCGAAACTCCAACTCAAGCAAAACAAAACAAAACCAAAAGAATATCAGAAGGAAAAATGCAAAAGTATATGACTTTTACAAATATATGACAAATTAAAATTGAATTTTGAGTTTTACCAATATTCTTACATTTGTATCATGGCTTTTTAAAGGTCTTTTTTCTGATAATATAAATAATACATCCTGTTAAAAAAATTTCAAAGGATATAGAGAATAATGAGGAATGGCATTAGTCAGGAAAGGCCAAATCCCATTGACTTAATGCAACAAAGGTTTATTTCTTGCTCATACTATACACCCATTGTGAATCGCCAGGGGCTTTGCTTCACATGGTCACTCAAGGACCCAGGTTGACAGAGGCTCCACCATCTTGTAATGTACCATCTGGAATGCATTGCCTCCCCGCCTCCCCAGCCCATGATGGGGAAGACAACAATGAAGGGCAACTCATCTGCAATAAAATGTTTTGGCCTGGTAGACCATTAACTGTAGGGATCAAAGAACAAAAATCCTCCATGGGCAGAAGCAGAGATGAAGCAGGCATGTGGGTGAGCACTATAATTCTACACTGAAGGAGAAAAATAAAAATCATCTATCCCCTACCTTGAGATAACCTCTGCTTGCTGTCTTCTGCCTGGCCTCACTGGCCTTCCTTATCGCCAGCCTTATGTTTGGGTTGGTGGGAATTACTCCTGCTTCTGGCAGATCACTGATAATTCTTGGTTATGTTCTACCTTTGCGCCTCTTTTGTCAGATTTTATCAGTGTATAAATAAAACAGGAAAGGACAAATCAAGAATCTCTCACTAGTTGTCTTAATAAGGAAATTTCATATTTCTTTTTAAAACTTTGCTTTAGAATATCTCTGGAAATATATACAAATAACTGGTTATAGTGGTTGTATCTAGGGAGGGAAACTGG
The DNA here is from genome assembly GCF_000001405.40 of Homo sapiens. Lineage (NCBI taxonomy): Eukaryota > Metazoa > Chordata > Mammalia > Primates > Hominidae > Homo > Homo sapiens. The sequence continues at coordinate 170,076,134 of NC_000003.12, forward strand.
CTAGACAGCGCTGGGCAGAGTGGGGGTGTTGGAGGGAGGATTGGGTGGCACAGGTAACTTTCACTGTAATACACATCTGTCACCCAAGTTTTGTATCATGTAAATTATATCACCTATTTTTAAAAATAAGTAAAATAAAAACATTTCCATATTTTCTATATTGAATATAACTGTACTGTGCAAATGGATGAATGCAAAACATTATCAGAGTTGAGTGACTTTTTTTTTCCACTGAATTTGGACACATCAAGCGAAGACCACATTTCAAATACAAACTCTTCAAAGTTTATATTTACCTTTTGGAGGGATAAAATTTCATTATCCAAATGGATAGTCAAGTCACAATCCTATGGATATCAGTAATCAGTACAGTCACTGTTACTTGAATGTCGCTTTTTTATTTTTTTAATTATTATTTTTTTTTTGAGATAACTGTGTCTCACTCTGTTGCTCAGGCTGGAGTGTAGTGGTGCAATCTCGGCTCACTGCAACCTCCCCGTCCTAGGTCCAAGCGATTCTCCTGCTGCAGCCTCCTGAGTAGCTGGGATTACAGGCGCCCGCCACCACGCCTGGCTAATTTTTGTATTTTTAGTAGAGATGGGGTTTCAGCATGTTGACCAGGCTGGTCTTGAACTCCTGGCCTCAGGCAATCCGCCTGCACCAGCCTCCCAAAGTGCTGCGATTACAGGCATGAGCCACCACATGTTGGTTTTTTAGAAAGCTCTTTCACATACATACATTGGGTCCTTTTCTACATTTCCAGTGAGTTAAGCCATAATTGTGGTTTACTGAAGAACGTGAGCTTTGAAGTCAGACTTGAGGTTGAACTTTAGCTCCAACACTTACGAGTCATGGGACCTAGGGAAATGTACTTATTAACCACAAGCCTGTTTTCCTCATGGGGAAAAATTATATATACCTTTTATGACTGTTGTTAAGAATTAGAAAAACAGTATGTAAAACCCCTGATAAGGCTATTTCTCCCACAGGCTTGCTCCACTTATCGGGCTCACCAAATACAGCTGCAGTATGAATTCCATCTTCTACACAACAGTAAACCAGAATGTTCATGTTCACAGCGTTCATCTCCCATCCTGTTGTCTAACGCACATGGTTTTTTTAAACTTTTCTAAGATTGCATGAGATTCTGCAACACAACTGATTATAAAAACACTTGAAGTTTTTACCTTTTTTTTTACTTTCCAACTCTCGTGAATGTACAGAGGACTTTCCAGAAGCTACATGATGTGTGATATTTCAGCTGATGAAATGTAGATGTATAGGTAATCGGTCAGAGTGGTGGGAGAAACTGTTGGGAAAGGAGCAGGCCTTCTGAAAGGTCGGAAGGCTTCAGGGGAGAATAAGCTGAACGCAGCTGTTCTCTGACCTTGAGGCAGAGGGCAAGGAGTAGGTACAAGGACGTGTAGGAGAATTTATCTTAAATAGGCTTGTTCACTTGTGTTGTCCAGAAACGACTTTTGATCATCAGCGCGCATGACTGCTCCCTGAAAGGAAGAACAATAATGTTAATTACCCGCAGACTGTGTTTGCTCCAGGCTTTCGGCATTATGTCTGTACTGAATAAAAGCAAGCAGCTCCAGCTGTTCGAGGCTGCTCTCTTCTTCAGCCATTAGTGCCGGGCAGCCCACTAGCTGCTGTTACACTGCATATCTGTGTCTGAGTACTCCTTTCTTCAGTTGCTTGGCCAGGGTCTGTGGGACAGACCCAGCAGCTGGTGCCCTGTGTGAGGAACGCTGCAATGGATCGCGACGGAACCCTCGAAAACGAAGGTGAAGAGACTGCGCAGTAAGCCAGTAATTGGAATTGGAGCCCTCTTGGGATTTCCAAGTTCGAGGGAATTTTCAAGCTAGGGTTTCACATTGGGACAACACTTACTCAACAGAAACAGCATATAAAAGTATTGAAACAACTGCTTAAAGCTGGTGGAGCCTCAGTTTGAGGCCCAATTAAGGGACCTAATGCAAACTCTTGTTTTCCATAACCCATAGTTCCCAGAAGAAGGCACGTTAGACCTAGAGCTCTGGGAGCAAGTGGGAAGAAATCTTAAACGACATCATGCACAAGGGCAATGGGGTCCCAGTAACATCTTTAACATTATGGGCCTTAGTTAGGGCTGCTTGGGAGGAAGAACCATCATCTACCTTACTGCCTCCGCCTCCTCCCCCAGCCCCACCGTTACCGGGTAAAGGTGCCACAGAGGAGACAGAGGTTTTCCCTGAGCCCCCTCCCCCAATAAACTGGAAAAAGGACAAGGGATACACTACAGTTATGGGACCCTGTCTTAAGCAAGCGGCATTAGAAGGGGAGCTCTTGGTCTGCCTGGTAATGCAAGATCAACAAGGCAATCGGGTACATGAACCCATTACTTTCAACACTTACAAAGAGATAAGAAAAAGCATTAGAGAAAATGGAGCCGCTAGCCCGTTTATGAAAGGATTAATTGAGGCCATGGCAGACAACTTCCATATGACCCCATGGGACTGGTCAGTGCTAACTAAAACAACTTTAGAGGCAAGTCAATACCTCCTCTAGAGGGCAGAATTTGATGAATTATGTGCAGCAGACCGCTTTACGCAAAGCCAGAACACGAGCTGTAACTACTGCGCCTGTCAAACCTGGCACTGCACACATCTGTACTCTTCAATCAACAAAACCTGATGCAAAAAAAAGGGGGAGATGTAGATCAGTCAGAGTGGTGGGAGAAACTGTAGGGAAAGGAGCAGGCCTTCTGGAAGGCCGGAAGGCTCTACATAGCTTCCGGGGGAGAATAAGCTGAAGGCAGCTGTTTTCTGACCTTGAAGAGGGCAAGGAGTAGGTACAAGGACGTGTAGGGGAATTTATCTTAAATAGGCTTGTTCACTTGTGTTGTCCAGAAACCGACCTTTGATCATCCGCATGCATTACTGCTCCCTGAAAGGGGGGACAGTAATGTTAATTACCCACAGACTGTGTTTGCTCCAGGCTTTCGGCATTATGTCTGTACTGAATAAAAGCAAGCAGCTCCAGCTGTTCAAGGCTGCTCTCTTCTTCGGCCACTAGTGCTGGGCAGCCCCCTAGCTGCTGTTACACTGCTTATCTGTGTCTGAGTACTCCTTTCATCCGTTGCTCGACTAGGGTCTGTGGGACAGACCCGGCATAGATGAAAATTCAGCTGTCTGCTATTAAGCCAGACACTAAAGCAAGTTGTGAAATGTGAAACAATGCCACTCTGCTCACTAAATTATTGTTTGGTAAAATATAGTAATTTTTACCATATTATTTAAATAACATTTTAAAAATGTTATTGATGTTAACATGCATCAAGGGTCAAAGGGTCCTGAAACCAAACACTTTGGAGGACAGCTGCTTTATCCTGTGGCTGAAAACTATAAAGCAAGATTCCTTTAAGTAAATGTGGTGTATGCATCAATCTCTCCATCTTTGGTGTGCTTTCAATCCAAGTATCCCCTTTCTTCCTTTTGCAAGAAAGAAACTAAGAATGTAAGCAGTTACTTCCTGGCTTCAGTCCCACAAAAAGCTACAATTTTTCTAAGCAGTGATCTGGAACCAGTTTAACTGGACTCTTGCTATTAAGATAGCTCTTAATGATGTTTCATTTTGTTTTCTATCTTTCACACAGAGCTTACTCACATAGCATATTGGTATATCAAAATGAAATGCAAGGAACCAAAAATAACATAATTGAAGGCAGTAAAAGTGAAATTAAATAGGAAGATCATCAGTCAAGGAAGACCCACTGGAGAGTAAGTATGCAAGTTGTTAATAATTAATTGGGTTACAAAGGGAAAAACAGAGACTGGGTCAGTGAAACGAAATCATGGTTTGTTTCCCTGAGGCCCTGCTAATACCTCCAAACTGGGCCAGATCGTAAAGCAAGATACCTTGAAAAGGACTTTCATGTTAACTTTTCAGGTTGCATATGAGTTCATTCACAAGTAGTTTAAAGAATCATGCAGGAAAAGGACCAGATCTTGTAAATCTCTTGAGTCCCTGTATTTTGTGAACATTTTTCTAGAGAAAATTCAGGTAGCTTATCAAAGGATTTCTGTCTTGTTCAGGGAGTTGTTTTAAAAAACAAAATATTGGAATTTTGAACACTTATAGTGGTTTACAGGGTAATTGGGGTAGAGTACATAAAATTGGTGTCGTCTAAGAAAGCTCTGATTGGTTTCCATGATCGTGGTATTCAGGAACTATCGTAAATTGGCCAAAATCTTGTTTTCCAGTTTCTTCCTTTCGCTTTTTATTGCCTCAAGTTGCCTGTCTTCCCCGCTCTTATTTTTCTTCTAGCTTTATGATTCTCTTACATGTTCCATGTCGGACTTGTCTTCTTTATTCCAGTCATCTTCTGAAGAGGTTCTTGGTTCCTGCCTTGGTGGCTGTAGCTGATTCTCTTTCTCCTCTGTGGACCTTCCTCATCCCCTAGGAGACACAAGCGTCCTCCTCCAGGTCCTCCTCCTCCCTACTTTTGTCATCTTCCAGGTGCCTCCACCTGTCAAGAGTCAATGATGAAACGGGAACTTGGAAAACATCCCTTGGATGTTGCCTACCTGGCTTTTCTTTTTGCGACAGAGTGTCAATCTGGCACCCAGGCTGGAATGCAGTGGCATGACTTGGCTCACCACAGCCTTGACCTCCTGGGCTTAGGTGATCCTCCCACCTCTGCCTCCCAAGTAGCTGGAACTATAGGCCCCCACCACCACACCCGAGTAATTTTTGTATTTTTTGTAGAGACTAGGTTTCACCATGTTGCCCAGGCTGGTCTTGAACTTCTGAGCTCAAGTGATCTACCCACCTTGGCCTCCCAATGTGCTAGGATTACAGGCATGAGCCACGGCCCCCAGCCTGACTTGGCTTTCCTTACTTAATTTAGAACAGGAGTTATAAAAGTTAAAATCATGTGAGACAGATGATTCTATTCTTTTATCCTAAAGTTACATTTTTGAAAAATGGGTCTTTATGAATCCACAAAATTTCCTCACCCTCATTTTAAACCAACATTGGTTGTTTAAAACTAAGCCTTTTTTGTTTTCATTTTTGGCACAAGGGGGACTTCATATGGTCTTACTCATCTTGGCTTCTTTATCCAAGCAACACCACTTGTAAGACCAATGGCATTTGTCAAGTTGGCAGCTACATTTCTGTGCCCTTGTATATCAAATCTGGAATGCAACTTTTTTGGATAAGATCAAATTAAACTGTACTATGTTTAAATACAGGGGAAAAAAACTTGAGTGTGGGAAGTACTTGTTTGATTGGGTCTTTTATAGTTATGAAAATAGATTTTGTATTATTGCCTTTACACATATATACGTTTGTATAAGTAGATTATTTGTATACCTTAATAAGTTATCTTATGACAGATTTATGGCCATGAGAGTAATGGTTCAATCTGTCATCAAAACTGATAGCCCTCTCTCACAGTGATTTATTTTTATTTTAGGTTCAGGGGTACATGTGCAGGTTTGTTATAAACTCATATCAGGGTGGTTTTCTGCACAGATTATTTTGTCACCCAGGTACTAAGTCTAGTACCTAATAGTTATTGTTTCTGCTTCTCTCCCTCCTCCCACCCTCCTCCCTCAAGTAGACCCCAGTGTCCACTGTCCCCTTCTTTGTGTCCATGTGTTCTCATCATTTAGCTCCCACTTATAAGTGAAAACATGCGGTATTTGGTTTTCTGTTCCTGCGTTAGTTTGCTAAGGATGATGGACTCCAACTCCATCCATGTTCCTGTGAAAGACATGATCTCTTGTTTTACGCTGCATAGTATTCCATGGTATATATGTACCACATTTTCTTTATCCAATCTGTCACTGACAGGTATTTGGGTTGATTCCATGTTTTTACTATTGTCACACTGATTTATCTTCAGACAAAATTATTTAATCATCAGTGACCTATTTTTAGGCAAATTTAATTTTTTCAGTTTTCAGACTCAAAACTCCATTTTTTTCCTTAAAGTTTGGGAAAAAGAAAGTATACTACTACTGTATTGGTAACTTGATATGTACCTTTTTAGCCTTTTCCTATGCATGTATTTCTTACATGACATGTTGCTGCATAATTTTGTAACCTGCATTTCACTTAACATACTGTGAAAATTTATCATGACATTATTTTTTTAACATGTACCAAATTCACAAGGCTTAAAATTTAACAAATGAAGGTAGAGTGAAAAGTATGAAAACTAAGTCTTCCTCCTATCCTGAGAAACATTTTTAATGGCTGCATATCATAAAGATGACCATATCCAGGGTGAGCATCCCTAATCCAAAATCTGGAATCTGAAATGCTCTAAAATCCAAAACTTTCTGAGCACTGACCTGATGCTCAAATGAAAGTGTGGGTTTTTGGATTAGGGATGCATTCAAGATCCAAAACACTTCTGGTTCCAAGCATTTCTGATAAGGGATACTCAACCTGTGTTTCGTTTCTTTCTTGTTTTTTTCTTTTTTCGAGACAGGGTCTTGCTCTGTCACCCAGGCTGGAGTGCAGTGGCACAATCATGGCTCACTGCAGCCTTGACCTCCCAGGCTCAAGCGATCCTCTCACCTCAGCCTCTTGAGTGGCTGGAACCACAGGTGTGCATCACCATGCCCAGGTAATTTTTTTTTTTTTTTGGTAGAGGCAGCTCCCTATGTTGCTCAGGCTGGTCTCCAACTCCTGGGCTCAAGCCATCCTCCTGCCTTGGCCTCTCAAAATGCTGGGATTTCAGGCAAGAGCCACCACACCCAGCCAACCTGTGTTGTTTTGAACCAATCTCCAGTTGTTCACATTTGTGATTGACTGGGTTTGTTGTTCTTGTCATTTTTGGGGTTTTTTTTTTTTTTGGTTTTTGTTTTTGTTTTTTTGCTATTTATAAATACTGCGATTGAGTAGTATTGTAGAAATAAGTTAAGTTTGGGTCAACTGATTTTTTTTAAGGATGTGTTTCTTGAATCTCCTACCTTTCCTTTCAGTCCTTTCCTGATTCTTCTTCTGACTTCTTTCATCATCTTTTTCCTGCTTCCAAAATGTATGTATCACTGAAGCCTCAACTCCTATTCCTTTGCCTTTACCTACCGCTTCCTAATGTTCTCATGTATCCATACTGAGTCCCTGTTCCTTCCCTGTATTCTCGTCTCTCCACATGCCATACCTGAAAGATCATATCCAGAAGATAAACACTTTTCTTTCTTTCCTTTACCTATGTTCTCATTATTTTTAGCTGAAACCACCTGTTTTCAGAGCTTCAGGAAAAGACTTAATCTGAAGGATCCTGCAGCTAAAAAGCTTTGAAAACTGTGTTAAGGGGCCCCATAAGCATCGCTTCTAAACTTCACTGACAAAAGGGACTGGGGTCATGCTGTCTGGAGTCAGAGTGAGGTGGGGTTAAAAGCTCTATGTGGTTGTTTTGCATATTACTATCAAGCTTCTATTTTAGGCATGAGTTTTGGCCCTGGTAGATAAAACCATTTCTCTATCTAAAAGTTATTAAAACCTGTACTTATATATAGAAGTTAGTAATTTATATATAACATTTTGGTTTAAAAATCTCTGAGTTCTGGACCATCTGGGTCTCAAAAAAATGACCAGAGTATACACATTAATTTTGTTCTGTATTCTATTAAGTATTATGTGACATATAATTCTTATTCATATATTTATTTGGGGAAATGATTGAATTAGGCTTTTAAGAATAGTGGTGCTTGCTTTGTAAAGTTTCAAAATAGGTAACATTAAGGTTTTCTTTTCACTTTTTTTGCAGGGACAGAAAATGAAGCAGTGTTTTATCATGTGTATTTCAGCAGGTCTTCTTGAAATTTAACTAAAAATATGACTGCTCTCTCTTCAGAGAACTGCTCTTTTCAGTACCAGTTACGTCAAACAAACCAGCCCCTAGATGTTAACTATCTGCTATTCTTGATCATACTTGGGAAAATATTATTAAATATCCTTACACTAGGAATGAGAAGAAAAAACACCTGTCAAAATTTTATGGAATATTTTTGCATTTCACTAGCATTCGTTGATCTTTTACTTTTGGTAAACATTTCCATTATATTGTATTTCAGGGATTTTGTACTTTTAAGCATTAGGTTCACTAAATACCACATCTGCCTATTTACTCAAATTATTTCCTTTACTTATGGCTTTTTGCATTATCCAGTTTTCCTGACAGCTTGTATAGATTATTGCCTGAATTTCTCTAAAACAACCAAGCTTTCATTTAAGTGTCAAAAATTATTTTATTTCTTTACAGTAATTTTAATTTGGATTTCAGTCCTTGCTTATGTTTTGGGAGACCCAGCCATCTACCAAAGCCTGAAGGCACAGAATGCTTATTCTCGTCACTGTCCTTTCTATGTCAGCATTCAGAGTTACTGGCTGTCATTTTTCATGGTGATGATTTTATTTGTAGCTTTCATAACCTGTTGGGAAGAAGTTACTACTTTGGTACAGGCTATCAGGATAACTTCCTATATGAATGAAACTATCTTATATTTTCCTTTTTCATCCCACTCCAGTTATACTGTGAGATCTAAAAAAATATTCTTATCCAAGCTCATTGTCTGTTTTCTCAGTACCTGGTTACCATTTGTACTACTTCAGGTAATCATTGTTTTACTTAAAGTTCAGATTCCAGCATATATTGAGATGAATATTCCCTGGTTATACTTTGTCAATAGTTTTCTCATTGCTACAGTGTATTGGTTTAATTGTCACAAGCTTAATTTAAAAGACATTGGATTACCTTTGGATCCATTTGTCAACTGGAAGTGCTGCTTCATTCCACTTACAATTCCTAATCTTGAGCAAATTGAAAAGCCTATATCAATAATGATTTGTTAATATTATTAATTAAAAGTTACAGCTGTCATAAGATCATAATTTTATGAACAGAAAGAACTCAGGACATATTAAAAAATAAACTGAACTAAAACAACTTTTGCCCCCTGACTGATAGCATTTCAGAATGTGTCTTTTGAAGGGCTATGATACCAGTTATTAAATAGTGTTTTATTTTAAAAACAAAATAATTCCAAGAAGTTTTTATAGTTATTCAGGGACACTATATTACAAATATTACTTTGTTATTAACACAAAAAGTGATAAGAGTTAACATTTGGCTATACTGATGTTTGTGTTACTCAAAAAAACTACTGGATGCAAACTGTTATGTAAATCTGAGATTTCACTGACAACTTTAAGATATCAACCTAAACATTTTTATTAAATGTTCAAATGAAAGCAAGAAAGTAAAAATTGTTCTTAAAATGATTTGGCATAAAGTTCAATGTAAGAGGAAGAAGAAGATTACCTCATTTTAAATGTAGCTAATTAATTTTAAAAAGTATATCTCTGTTTTTAATGCAAATATTCCTGGAAGAAGAGGGTTTTGGTTGCTCACCTTATGGAACTGGGAGCAGTGACTAGGTCCCTTTCGATGATTCAGCAGATTCGTTTTCATATTATAAAACTTGTATGTCATCACATACTTGCATATCACATCATAATCACGTTAGCAATGATGTATCACACGTAAAAGTAGAATTTCTCATCCTCGGCACGCTTGACATTTGGGGTTGGTTAATTTTTTGTTGTGGGGCAGTTTAGCAGGATCCCTGCTCTCTGCCCACTGACTGATTGGTGGCACCTCCATGCCCAGTAGACACAATAAAAAATGTCTCCAGACATTGCCAAATCTCCCCCGGTGGATAGGCAGAGTTGCTTCACTGGAGTAAAACAATATGAGTGGCAGGATCATCATCTTACATTACTTTAGGAATTAAGCTACATAGATATTTTTTATCACCATTTAAAAATACTATATTGCATAAATCTAAACCTAGCTTTTCCTAAATTGGTGGCTTTTGATTTTTTTTGATATTTATAGTAAGATATATTTTTTAACATCATGACCTATAGACTTGTATGTACGTTTATGTGTACATACAAGTAACATACTTACCCTTACATAACATGTATAACATGTACATGTACATACAAGTATAACAATACTTACCCTTACATATCATGCAAATATGTTTTTTAGTGTCATTTTTTAAATGCTGGTTTTTATCCACTAAATTGAGTTGATGATCCACAAATGGATTACTTTCTGTTATTTGAAAAAATGTCCTAAAACAAGCGCTATGGAACACTAATAATGGCAAAAAGATTTAAGAAATGTGTCCTGTGTGCCAGGTACCGTCTTAAGTGTTTGTTTTACATGCAGCAACTGATTTAATCCTTATAGCAACTCTGACAGGAACTATTATCCCCTTCTTACAGATGAGGAAATTTAAACATTGAAAGTAAGAAACTCACTATGATACAACTAGACAGACATTGGGGAAGCTGGGATGCAAACCCAGAATTCTGGTCCACAGTTCTTGCTCTTTACCACTGTATTACATTGCCTTTCATTGGTGCCACTGACTTCTCAAAAAGAAAAGAATGGTTTCAGAGTCAAATGTGAAGAATGTTGTTTCTTAATTATTATTATTTATTTTTCACTTGAAAATGTACAACGCCCATGAACACCTTAAGGCTTTATAGTGCTATAATGAAGAAGAAGAAAACCATTTACTTGAGCACACAAGTCTCTTTAATTAGCTAAAATTAATTAATTAAGCATCTATAAAGACAAGTTGGGAAATGCTCCTGGAGAGTCAGTCAAGAATTCTTTGAGTAGCAGGTAATACAAACTCAACCTGAGCCATTCTAAGAACAAGCTGGATATTGGCAAGAACTTACTTAGTAAACTACTAGGAGAATCTCTCTGAGTTGTCGGTTTCCATTTTGTGTCCACAAAGTGGGTGTTCTGGCTGCCAGCAGCTCAGGGCTTTCATAATTAATTACACTTACTTAAAGCATCTCCTAACTTCTTCAAATATACAGTCCCGGGGAATGACTGTTCAACCTGACTTCAATCATATGTCCACCTCTCTATGATCAGATCTGTTAACAGAAGACATGGCAGGGAAGAGAAATAATAACCAATATAATGGGTGGTACAATGTTAAAATATATATATACTTGAGAAAATAATAAATAATAGGAATAAAAATCACATTCTATAAAAACCAAATGCATATAGACAGCCAACTATATCGAAAGTTTAGGACAAATAATCCTATGTTCAAGACAACATCAGGGTGTGTTTAAACAGTTTAGAACTCTTCTTAAACCCGGCCCCCTCTTTCCTTCTATTACTTTTTCCTCTAAATATATTGCCTTCTAGTTGTTGGCCAAATATGGGACTGAAATATGTTTAAATATATTGAAATTAATCAGTAAAGACTTGCTTACACTCTTTGCAGATTTTAAATCAGGAGATTTTTAAAACCATTTCAAACCTCACTAAGCTTTTTGTTTTGTTTACACAGAGGATTCCCCATGTCTCATAAGCTTAAAGAAAAAAAAATTATTCAATAGACCAGTCAAATGGAAGAGGCTTTTATTTGTAAAGAAATGAACTTACAACTGATCTACAATATATTATTGTAATATAAACAATATAAATAAATGATCCTGTAGGCCCACTAATCTTCCATCCAGACCCACATGAAGCAATGTTACAACAATATTCTATATGAAAATGTGCAGGTAACAAAGGTGCAATTACAAGCAAGTTAAGCAGCAGAGTATAAGGTGCTTTAATTTAATAGTTAATGTTGCCATCAACAAACATTTAAATGCTCAATTTACTTCACTGAATACAGACACAACAAATATGAAAATCTAAATTCATACACATGCTACTTAATATGAAAGTGCTTTCTCTTTTTTAAAAAAATACACCAAATGGACACTTTTTACATAGATCAAATGTGCTCTTACAATGCAAAATTAACCTTCATTTTCAGGTTATACATTTTAAAACTGTAGCTATCAACACCAATCTAGGAACTCTAATGCTAAGAGTGCTAAAAACTATTTCATTTCTTGTAAGGAGGACTCTAATACAATATCCAATGTAAAGAATACATCTATATATAATCTTAACATGTTTTCTGTAAAGATAAAAAATGTTTTCTTTCCCCTTGGTGATCTTTGTTCATCCTGGGTGGATCATCTTTTGAGGTTTTAATAATATGAAAGTCCTATTTTAGAACAATGGGAGGAACCAAAAGGGGAATTAAAAAATTGGTTAACGTGTGCTTGAAGCATCCAAAAAACACCAGTTTATCACAACAATTGGTCTTTGCTAAAATTAACAAAATTTTAATAAGCAAGACGACAAAAAGTACTAATTTAAAAGGCTTGAAATGCCTGCCACCATTGTCAGTATCCATCCATCCAACCTTCATTTACTACAAGCACAATACTACTTTGAGGATAGTTTTTGGAACTTATTTTGACTTTTTTCCCTATAGGAAAAACAAAGACCAAGCTTTTGAAGGAGAGGACTGGGAATCTAGTTTAAATGTCTACATCCAAAATTATATCATCTTTGCGCATTCAGTTGACTTTTTAAAATTTAAGAATACATATACAAAAAGTACTTATGGAATACATATTTTAACAGCATAACATATTTGAAGAATTAGTTACACTTTAAAAATTAAAACACTTGAAAAGTATTTTTTAAACCAGTACCATGGAATAACTTTTTGAAACCCAGATTATCTGGCTACTTAGATGATAGTCTTCCTGTTTTCAATTAGTTTGAAAGATTCTAATATAGATTCTAACCCAACAGTTTATATGGATATTTTCCTGCTTTAAAAAGCTGCAACAGGCTAGGCGCAGTGGCTCATGCCTATAATCCCGGCACTTTGGGAGGCTGAGGTGGGCGGATCACTTGAGGTCAGGAGTTCGAGTCCAGCCTGGCCAACATGGTGAAACCCCATCTCTACTAAAAATACAAAAAACTGGCCAGGCATAGTGGTGCATGCCAGTAATCCCAGCTACTTGGGAGGCCAAGGTGGGAGAATCTATTGAACCTGGGAGGTGGAGGTTGCATTGAGCCAAGATCACACCGCTGCACTCAAGCCTGGGTGACAGTGAGACTCTGTCTCAAAACAAACAAAACAAAAAAGCTAAAACAATGATAAACTATTTTTAATAGATATTTTCATTCTATATCTTTATGGAGAATGTCAGTATCAACTGATGTTAACAAGTAAAGCTTTGTCAACAGGAATTACAATGTGATTCACAGATCCCAGAATGACAAGGAAGGGACCTTAACCCAATAAATGATTCTCCCATTCAATGTTTACCCCCTAGATACTTAACAATTCAAGCATGGAACTGTTTCATGTTTACCCGTTCTACATTTAAAGGATGCCCTTTTACTATATATGTGCTTTCTAGAATATTACTGATTCTTACATATCTTTAAAAGTTGGATATTTGTAATAGCTTAAAGTACAGTAACACTTATTTTGTGTAATCTTTCTTAATTTAAAAACAAAAAATAAATGAACAAGTCAGTTCCAATGATCTCCTTTGAGATTTTTCAGTTTTAGAAAGTTGCTACACTGTCGGACAGGTGTGGTGGCTCATGCCTGTAATCCCAGCACTTAGGGAGGCCAAGGCAGGTGGATCACTTGAGGTCAAGAGTTCGAGACTAGCCTGGCCAACATGGTGAAGCCCCGTCTCTACTAAAAATACAAAAATTAGCCAGGTGTGGCGGCGGGCACCTGTAATTCCAGCTACTTGGAAGGCTGAGGCAAGACAATCGCTTCAACCCGGGAGGTGGAGGTTGCAGTGAGCTGAGATCGCACCACTGCACACCAGCCTGGGCAACAGAGCGAACCCATCTCAAAAAAAAAAAAAAGAAAAAAAAAAAAAAAGAAAGAAAGTTGCTCACTGTCAATACTGGGTAAAAAGCTCTTATATCAACACCAGCTTTTTTTTTGTTCTGCCACATGCCTTGTATAGCAACAACTCTGGAATAGAGTCAAGTGTCAAAATAATGTTGTGAAATACGGGCTGTCTCAACCTGTAAGTCCTTAATGTTAAGTCTCCTAAATTTTGTAACTTAATCAGGTATGGGGCCAACTGATGTTTAGTATGTGAAATGTGTTATAAAAATTATGATATGATTCACTCAGACCCCTTAGATGTCATCTAGCCTAACCCTTTACCCAATGTATACAAATATTCCCTCCCAGTTCCAAGTTTATTAAGATTCCCTCTCAGTATATTAAGTAGTAATGATTATGTTCATATTTATTTAAGCCACAATGAATTTTGGGGGGAAGATTTTACTTACTACTAGTTCCTCATGTCATGTTCACCAAACACTGCACATGTAAGTGTTCAAATAGTTTGCTAAATGAATTTAAGTACATGAATGACAATATTCATATGTGTTCATATATTCAGTGGTTAACCAATAAGGAGCATTTAGGAAAATGTCATCATTTGCTTGTTATGTATGAATTTTCTATTTTAATCCTTAGGAGAACAAAGACTGTAGGTGACCCAAGAAATGGATGCTTATTAAGTATAAAATGAACCCTTAAAAAAGGAAAGAGAATAAAGTAGGAATAACCCCATTACACAGCCTAGAATCATAGTTTTAGAGCTGGGAGGTACCTTAAAGATGAATTAAACCAAAATCAACTTTTGAGTAGTACAGGCACCATACTGCATATCTGGAAGCTGTTAAAACAGCTGAGTAATTGCCCAACATGTCACACACAGCTAACCCACTGAAATAAAACCCCAGTCTCCAGACCAGTGTGTTAATCCTCATTCATCATCATCTTAATTCATTATTTACTACTGAAATAGATTATTTACTGATTATTTAATACTACCCAAAACAAAAAATACTTTTAAGAGAAGCATTCTAAATAAAGATTTAAACACTAGACACTTCTGGTTTACTTTAGGCAAGACTAAAAAATTCTTTCTAAAACAGGTTGATGTTTAACTTCACTAATGACTAGACACCCCACCACTCTCTCATAAACACCAACTTTTTCACCACCATCACTTAAAGCTCCACAAAGCTTGGATTTAACACTGATAATATTCCATGAAATATAACTTTTAAGCCAATAAGTGATGGTGACTATCAATCCTTAAGATGATTACTGGAGTAAATTTAAACAGGTGCTCTAAAAGAACTTACTACCTTACTCTTATATTTAATTAACACCTTGCCATGTTAGTATAACAGTGTTTTCAAATTATGTTGTTTTCAAAACTGAAATTCATTCATTACTCTGCTTTTTTTAAACAACAAATTTTGTTTTCTTTCTATGGATTCATACTGAACACCACCAGTATCACTGAGAGGACTAGTACTTGTAAAAAGCAGTAGAAACAAAAATATTTTTCAAAAGTATAAAGCTAGCTAGAACCTCACTATGTTGTACCTCTAACATTTCCGATTAAAATTGTCATCTTTAAGTAAAATTAAATGTCAACAAACTATAAAAGGGAAAAAATAAAACATCTGGAAAACATTTCCCAAATGTTCCCATAAACATGACACTTGGAAGGGGTGTGTGCATGTGTCTGAGTAGAAAAGCTGATCTTCAGAGCTGAAAAGGAGGGCAGAGATTCTCCCTTAATGTATGTTTTCTAAATTGAAAGTTTAGAAAAAGCCATATTCTCTGGAATGTGATGGTAATAATTATATTTGTATTATTTGTATTAATGCTTTACAACTTTCAAAAAAAAGCTTTCTCATAGTACAATTTTAAAACGGATTAGGTTCTAAAAACTAATATGTAAAACTTTGAAAATTCTTAAAAATTTAGGAAATTCTTTTTCCAAAGAAGGTAATCTAATTTTAAATTTATTTGAAGAAAGCTTATATAACTACTGTGAACAAAACTATATGATACATTTTATGAACTTCTAATAAAAGAGGACGTATCTTCCCAAATAATTTTTTGTTTTGTTTTTTTGAGATGGAGTCTCGCTCTGTCACCCAGGCTGGAGTGCAGGGGTGTGATCTTGGCTCACTGCAACCTCCACCACCTGGGTTCAAGCAATTCTCCTGTCTCAGCCTCCCAAGTAGCTGGAATTACAGGTGCATGCCACCACACCCAGCTAATTTTTGTGTTTTTAGTAGAGATAGGGTTTCACCATATTGGTCAGGCTGGTCTCGAACTCCTGACCTCAGGTGATCTACCCACCTCAGCCTCCCAAAGTGCTGGGATTACAGGTGTGAGCCACCATGCCCAGCCCCAAATAATTTCTTTTAAGATATACAGCTTAACAAGTTGAAATTTTAGTAAGATTGCATATTTACTTTTCCTAATACTGTATTTGTGCTTATCTAAAGTGGATCACAATCTTTGAGATGAAATTAAATGCTCCAAGTAGATTTGTAAAATACCAATATTGATGAATGTGGGTAAACAGTTCATTTCATGATCCACACTGCTGTGAACCAAAGAAGCAGAGGTAGGCTTGTGTTTACTGAAATCCAGACTAGGAAAGAGAAACCTATAGCTCTTCTTTTCCCAATTCTTAGACTGAGACACAACCTAGCAAATAAAATACTATCTTAAAATGCCTCTCTTTATAACAATCTACAGAGGTGATTCAACTGTGATATCTGAAAATGGAAACTCTGTAATTCTGGCAACTCAATTACAACAACCTTTGAATTTTTGACAAATATTCTCCAACTGTAATAAAAGGTTCTCACCTTTTTCAGAAATCAAAAATCACTAACTTCTACATCACTGGAACTATTAATATCCATGCTCCCAAGCATGGAGACAGTGGGTATAGAGAGTGAAAGAATGAGTCTGATTACAGGTAAATCTTGACATATAAAAACTATAACCTATTTACTGCTATAACTGGCATCTAACAAAACGCATTATTTTGAACTATGGATGAAAGCCATATCTATCCTAAATATCTTCTATCCTCTTGGGTCTAGAATGCTTTGTTCCTCCTACTTGTCTCCTCCTCTACTTCCCTATCCTTCCCCCTAGAAAACCTTCCTTAGGGCCCAGCTAGTTACATATGTAGTACACAAGATAGAGATTGAGCAATCATTTTGCATAGATGCGCCAGTTTCCACTGCCCAAAGGTTGCTCTGGAACATGACTGTCAGGTATCAGAAAGTCCTGCCCCAGCTGCCTCCCTTCCTAAAGTTAGCCCCCATACGAAATCCTCTCTAAGGATTCTGAGACAAAGATCTCTCCAAGAAAGAAGTTTTCATGGTTTTCTTGGAGCTAGAGGCCTTAGAGAGGTAGTGAGATGAGGCCCTTTCATGCCATTAGCTAATGCTCAATGCCAGTAGGCTGCATGTGTTCCTGCAATCCACCAAGGTGAAAACCACAAACTATAACCAGGCTGTTCTGGCTGAAAATACATCTTTAAAACATTTTAACAGTGTGTCCAGTCAGTTTCATCCACTGGATATGGCTGTCAGGTCAGCATCACTCACATACATCTATAATAGTGTATTCTTTCAAAAATTGTTTATACACACTTAATATAGGCATATAGCCTAAGACTATATTGCCTCCCTACCATACTTGTGCCATTGTGGTACCAAAAGCCTGAAGATGTACATAATGTACTTTAAGACATTTAACTGAACAAGTCAGTGGGAGACAGGGCACTATAACACATTTCAATTCAATCTAAGACTTGTATTTGTGAATAGATGTCTCATTATAATTTTATACTTGATACATGAAGATAAGCTACGTCAAAAATTATTCAAAGGCATGATCACAATAATACTTGTTTCATAGTTCTAAGTATTTTGATACACCAGGAAACAAAAATCAACTGGGATCCCTAATGAAAGAAAATTATTTCTTCTAAGTAAAACATGAATTTCACTTCAAAAGTGCAGAAATGTGCTCAGTGTTGAAGTAGGCTAAGCTAACAAGGATGATGGCCTCCTCCTCTGACTCTTCCCATGCTCAAGCTTTTGCATTACCATTTCTCTCCTCCCATTCCACCTTGTCTACTCCTAGGTGACTGCTCTTAAAACACACCTTTTAAAAAGTTCTGTTTAGAGCATTCAACAGCAAAGTAACAGGACCATCAGGGAAATAATATGCTACTTAAAAAGTGACAGGAGGATTTGGGACAACACTCTATCTCATACTATATTGACTACTCAAAGCTGCATAGCTGTGTCTTACACATGCCTACACAAGGCTTGATGAATATTAATGTCATATAAAAAATAATTTTTACAAATCAGCTCTCTTAGTTGTTTAACTTCCCCAGGAACACAAGGCTTAAAGCAAAATTTCAAACTTATGCTTTTTATCCCAATGGGACAAAGAGTGCAACACTGCAAGGAAGTCAGAAAATGCAAACTTAGGTAGCAAAAGTAGGAAGAACCTCCATGTTCCCTTTCTGTTTGTCATTATCTCTCCCCAGTCAAAATCCTAAAACTATTAGTAGTAGTATGAAAGGATATGAAAACAATTTACTCTCCCCACCTATATCATACTGAAACTCTGCTTTAAAGCTCAGGAGAGAGGTGGATGCTCAGTGTTGTCTATATATCCATTATATATAGCTGAAGCTTTGAAATTAAGATGATTAACTCATCTTGAAAGAAACAGCTGCACCAATGTGATAGCAAACAAGCCATTTTTAAATAAAAACTCACTTGAAAAAAGCAAGTGCATATTTTGTGTATGTTTTGAGTGGGGACAACAGAGATCTGGACTAGATTTAAGATTATACGGTATTCTCCAATAGAAAACCCTCTTGTAAGCCCCTCCTGAATACTTAAGACAGCAGTAGGCACAGGGGCTTTCAATAAGTACAGAATGGCTGCTATTAGGAAAGAGAACAAATAAAAGGAGAGCCTACAACACAGTTCAAAATTGATACCTTAAAGGCCATAGGTAATACAGTTATAGGATGTAATCATTATTGCTGGAGCAGTCTATCCCCATATAATAAATTTTGTATTAACCGTGGATAATCTATGAAAAGTTTTAATTCCAGGCGAGATTTTCCGTTGCACCTCTCTCTCTCATACTGTGGGCCATCTCTTACTAATGCTTAGCCTGTATTTGTGTTCTGAAATTCCAAGAAGAGGGAAAAGTCAAGCATATGACAATTCTGTCATGATGATTAACTGCTAATAAATGAAAACTCATTATAGAGTACCTAGCTTTCCTTGATACTTTAATCCAATGATTAAAAATGTGATATAAAGAAATACGTAACATAGACTACAAGCTATCGTAGGTCTGGAACATGAGCCTTATATTATATTACATATTCTAATCCTACATGTAACTATCAGTAAACATCTTTTTTTAAAACATTACTACACAAAGAATTCCACAAAGCATACATTCAAACAAGAGGCATCTAAAGATTAAAAAAATTACCCGCTGTATTTTTGTATAAAAATAATCAACATTCTCTAATGTACACAAAGCCAAAAGATAAATATAGTATCTGTGATGTCTTCAGTGACATCTTTAGTCTTCTACCAGCTCAACACAATCTTTTTGAAAAGAGCAGTGAAAATGACTGAAACTCACGGACTCTTTTTTTCCCCTCCTTACTCGACTTCTGCCAAATATCTGTGTATGTTCCTTCAATTACTAAAATATCTCAATTGTGGTAATATAAGAAAAGATGAAAACAAAACATTCATCATCTCAAATAAAATTTTTGATGTCCAGGACTATAAAGCTTTCAGGGCTTCCACAAACAATTTTGTTTTAGTGTCATAATTCTATAGAACACTGTTCAGTAAAAGGTTTTGCTTTACATTTTTTTCCTCAAACATGTACATACAAAATTATATCCGATGGTTCAAGAGAAATCACTTGGTAAGTGCTTTGCAGGAAGCATGCAAACGTTTGGTAAAGGAAGTAGGAATGTGCATTCTAGCTAGTCCCAGCATGTTCAACAATAGAAAAAAATCCAAAGAGCAACCACGTATCTGCTACAAACTATTTTCTTGCCAGAAAAGGCTGTGCACTAGTTCATAGGTATAATCATATTATGTCTTCGTCAGTGCAGAGGAGCACAGAGGTATGAAAGATAATCAGAATGAATTAGTACTTTCTGAGAGTTAAATTATTTGCATGTTTGTCCTTATTTTATAGGACAATTTGTAGATTTTTTTTCTTTTTCTAGTATGATTAAACTAGAAAAAATTATTCAGCAGAATATTAATGTTATCTGAATAATACTTCCATCATATATGTTTAGTAAGCTTCATCCTTTAAAAGTATTCCTTTGGGTGAAAACAATATTTATCACTCCTTCTATATCAGAGTTTCTCAACCTTGGCAGTACCGATATTTTTGAACCAATAATTCTTTACAGTGGAGGGGTGCTGTCCTGTGCATTATAAGATGTTTAGAAACATCTCTGGCTTCTAACTACTAGACACCAGTAGCAACCCTCCCCTGAACCCACCCCCAAGCTGTGACAACCAAAATGTCTCAACATTGCCAGATGTCCCCTGGCGATCAAAACTGACCTCCACTGAGAACCACTGCTCTAAATAAATGTACAAAAACTGAGAGGAAAACGTTCTCAGTCAAACCAAATTCTTGGTCAAGTTTGGAATAGAAACTAACTCTTCTCACTTCCAGATCAGTATTGTTCATACTAGAACACAATTCCTTTTTTATAGATAAAGCATATGTCTAAAAGACATGTTTTTTAAAATGTACACTGATTTCATACGATTCTGTCACTGGACTACTAAATTATTCCATAATATACCTCTCATGACAACCTTTAGAAAACTAATAGGGTAGAAAAAATGTATAAGAAAATTGAATCAAAAGAGGAGAAATGTAAATCATTAAATTACTTTTAAAAGGATTCTTTATATTAATGATAAACATCACCTTTAAAAAAATTATCTAGTATAACACATTTCTTTGAAAAATATCATGGCCCTCTGTAACAAGTCTTTCAATGTTTCATGTAACCTGTAAAATTAATTTTACCAATGTTTATTAATTATGAAAATGCATGATGAATTATTATACCTGTAGAAGAAATGTCAGTATTTGATGTGGAGATCCCAATGTGCTTGGCTATCCACCACAATAAGTGTCATATTCTAGACCAAGTTAGGCCTTTACCTTACAAGTTTTTGTGAGAAAAGTAAAACTGCTGTTTTATCAAGGCTTCATGTTCCTGTTAAGATTCCTTCAGAGAGTTGATGCGTGCACAGATCTTCAGGGCTGGGCCTAGCTTGATATTCATTGCACTCATGAGATGGTCTTCTTTCAGCAAGAGAAGGGCCTGTCCATCAATCTCCTGTGCTCTGAATTCATCTGCGATATCCTGGCAGCCTGGAATTTGACCAGAGGACAGAAGTTAGAATTAAATATACAACAATTAGACATTACTCCTAACAGTCACAGTTATGCTCTCACTGGGTCTGAGAATCTGAAATACAGGCTGAGAAACAAATGAAATTTATTTATGGTAGTCTTGAGTTCACTCTTGAAGAATAGAGTATTTGCATTCTGAAAATAAGAATTCAAAATCCAGGTAAAGCAATTTGCTTGGAATTCTTGCTCTAAAATAATGTTATAGAAATAATTCATAAGAGGGAAGTCTAGATATAATACTTCCTTCACAAAAAGGACTATGGTGTTACCTCAAAGCATGCCACATAACAGGTTTGGGTTAACTAGTTATACCTCATGCACTTATCTCTGTATAATATATCCTTCACATATAGGTAAAGAGGAAACAAAAATATGTTTTGTCATTTAAATAACAATCTAGAAATATTTTCTCAAGTAAGTACCACTTTCATTATCATTTGTACCTTATCCTAATTTATGACCTTCACTTGAAAAGTACATTTAAAATATTTTTATTGTTCACTCGGGACATATCAAATTTCTCAAGACTGTATTACCAATCTATTGCAATGCTGCTGAAATGTATTACGCTGCTTGACTTGACTATCACTGGGCTTGTCTCCACTTTTGTTAAGAAAACAATTCTCATTGAAATTATGAGCTTGCTGGCGAATTTCCTGCCATATAACCAATATTTTAGCTCTCAGTCTAAACCAGGTGCTTTAGCAGGTAACAATGCTAGTATCTACCTGAAACTCAAATGTTTTTACTGTCTACCAAATTTTCACATCCAAATTACTCAATAAACTTACCCATTAAGGGTAAAGAAACCAATAGGAAAGGTAATCAATTAAGTAGCTGAGATGAGAGAATATAAAAATATGGAAGCTTTCTTGAGAGACAGTAAAATTTTAAGATGAATTTAAGAATACACATAAAAACTGACAGCTTAAGTTTTTCTATTTTATTCAAATCAGCATTCTAAGGGAAAACACAAAGAAAAAGATAATGAAAAATGAAAATAGTTACATTACACTTTTGGATGCCACAATTTTGCTAGTTCAATTATCCTTTCTACTTGCAAATGTATCATCCTCTTGTTTATGTAAGATTATGATGTCTTACAACCCCAGCACAAAGCACAAAGCATTATAGGTACTGAATACATAATATTTGTCAATAAGGACTGAATTAGTGAATACACAATAAACAAAAATATAATCTGCTATAGAAGAGCTATCTGTAAGAGTAATACAAACATTTTTTCCTGTGTACAGCTGTGTGTCCATTTTTTCTCTTGCTTATTTCTTTTCTCACGTCCTCTGTTACTTGTATCTTTACTGTTTCCTATATAACAACTAGCTTTTCAATTTCTATTTTAATAATTTCTCAGACTTTGAAAAATTGACATTTCAATACCCTCTACGAAATTATTATGCTTTTGCACATTTATCTTATAAAAGAAACTATAGTTGAAATGGGATTACTCACCATAGAAAAGCCCCTTTTCTTTTCCCAGAGGTAGCTCTCAACAAAACTGGGCAGACAAAACTGACTAATCTTGCATCTAGTTGTGACTTCATCCTTCTTTTTATGAAAGAACTAATGTTCTTCTCTCTTCAGTCTTACTTACAAGAACACAGGAAAGAAAAGAAGAGAGAGAAAGATAGGGTGGGACTTACTTAGATTCAGAAAACAAGAGCAATGAGAAGTAATGAGAACTATAAGAGCTACATTTGGGAATAGAAACAAGGAGTTCTCCATGAGGAAAATATGTAGCACATTCCTGTTCCTCTGTATTGTGAGATTCCTCTTCAAATATCCTCTTGTAGGTGAACAGTAAATGTATTAGCAAAATAATATAGAACAAAAAGTGTTTTGGGAATTAGCACGATCAAATAGGAATGCATTTTAGATCACAACTTTCTTAAGCTAACCACAAAAAAAGTATAGTTACATCAGTATAGAAATTTAAAAAAAAGTGACTTAGAAAAATTGGAAGCAAGTATGCTTCCAGAATCTCATTACAGAAAAATATATTTTAAAAACAATTTTAAGTGCTCAAGGTATACTGAGATAAAGTTCTGAGTTTCTGACATTAACATCTACTTTGGTAAAATGCCTGGATCCCGGGGATGTGTACAAAACATACACCAACTGACACAGCCAGTCAGCTGAGCTAGCTTCACCTCACCAGAAGCAAGTGTAGTGCAGCTCTCAGCACAGGCAAGGACCTCTGCACATGGGTCCCAACTGATCTTTCAAGTGTCTGGCATCACTTCTCCAGCTAAACTCAAAATAAAACACCCTGCACAAAAATTGACCACAGTAAGGTTGGTGAAAAGGTATCACCTGCCACTCAATACTACAGAATAAACAAGTCCCAATACTGATATTACAAAAACCAGTAAATAGTCATGTTTTAAAAAATGATTCCTAGTTTATATGCCTACAGAAAAATCAAATCTACTGTGGATTCACCCTTCAATAAACAGAGGACAAACTGATCTCTGCAAAAGGCAGTTCACCATAGCAAGGAAAGGTTAAAGAAGATAACCCGCAGTAAATTGAAAATAAGAATTATTCCTGTAGATAACTTTTTAATGCAGAGAAAATTAGAAGGCGGTAATTTTTCATTCTGTTAACAGCTCTGAGATTCTGGTCTACTGCATACAAGCTCTAACATAGTCTGAACAGGATGGTTAACAAGACGATATACAAAGAGAAGAGAAAACTGGAGGAGTAAATATAAATGCCCTGGTTAAAGAGGGAAGGAAGCCTATCTCAACTGGAAAGAAACAAAATACAAAAGAGATTACAAAATTTACAAGCTTGTTCATCCTATGAGAAAAGCTTGGGAGTAGACTACTCAGGGAAAACAAACAGCGCTTAATGAGAGCTAAAAGAAGCTCAAAACGAAATTTACAAAGTCCAGAGAAGCAGAAAGAAATGAACACTAAGGCATTTTCTGGTATGAGATTACCTTAAACTATAGGCATTATGCAGAGAAAACTGTGAGAAAGGTGATACAACTAATCACACAAATAAGCTTATTATTTGGCCTGTCAAAGCAGTTTGGAAACACTCCCATTTCATAAGTAAAGAAGAGAGTCATATTAACCAGACTCTAAAATAGTAGTAAGCAATTCTAAATTATATAATAGCTGTGTCCTTTTTATGATATATAATGTTTTCTAAATACCTGGCAACAAAATTAAGTGTCTAGATGAACTCTATAAGACAAGCATTTTAAGTTATGAGGAATATTAAGTTTTATGTTTTTTTAACTCAAATGATGCAAGAATGAGGCAAAGGAATTTGCCTTTGTTCTGGTAAAGTAGCCACATGGCAAAGGATGCTGGGGAAAATTAGCCTAAATAAAAAAAGAAGTGAAAGAAGAATCAGCAGTATCCATATTTGTTAATTATTTGGGCAACTACTTTTCTCAGGATATAAACCAACTCTCTTCTGCAAAGGAAAAGAAAAATTTCCCCCAAATGAAAAATCAGGCTCACAAACAGATCATGTGCCCTACCTGGAAGAGTGACACTACTTCTGAAGATGACAGAATCAAAGCCCAGCCCCAGGTATCCACATAGACTCCAAAGTTAATTCTCAAGATAGCTATACTGGTCTAAAAACTAAAACTGGTTTCATTAGATACTAAAACCACAACCAATGAAGACCCACTGTCTTCTAAATACACCCAGTTTAAAACAGATTCTAAATCCACATGGTCAGCAATTAACTCACATCTAAGTTTTCGTGGGCACATGCACATGTTTAAAAATCTTCCCATGAAGTATCTCCACTTTAAACAATTCCATCTTTCTTTAAAAGTGGCCATATTTTTTTAAAACTTAGCATTTCTAAAACAAGCTATTGATAAACTAATTTAACAAAATCTCACAGAATTCTGTATATGAGGTAAAGTGGGTGACGGATTCTTTACAACTATCATTCCTAAATATATTTTCTTGTATAGCATGTTAGCTCTAAGTATGCTTCCAAGACTTTAGTTGCCATCAGAGAAAGACTAATTAGCAACAACAGCTGATTAATTAGCTTATTAAACTGTAAAAAGTTAGTAGACAAGTTCAAATAGGATGTATTCTTCTAGAAAGCTTGTATCAAGAGAAATGATATGATTCGCAATAAAACCAAAAGGAAATAAATTTTTTGTTTTAGTCTCCTCATTTTCCATATGCGTAAGGTCAAAGTGAATGACAAGATTTACTGATTTAAAAAAGTATATATATACATATATGTATAGTCTTAACATATATAACTAGTGTGGGTCTCATCATGAGCAAAGGTGCAGCTGTCTTTAGTAGCCAGCCCCTTGGAGAAGGTGGATATAAAAGATTATTGTTGTTTTAAGGAAAAAAGATAGAGACTTAAGGTGATGGAAAGAGTATCAAAATGAGAGAACAGGAAAACATAAATAAGAAAGTTACCCTCAATATTAGAATGAATATAATTGAATTTCAGCTCTCTATTTGAAAAATAAAATTTCAGAAAGGCTCTTGATGTTTATTTATTGAAAAGAATCAAAGAATGTACCTTCTTTTAAAAGGACTAGCTTGATTTTTTCAAAGAAACCAAATTTTTACATTTTAAAAGGTTTTGATTAGCTTTCAAAAATGTAAAAAAAAGAAAAAAGTCTCTCTTACTTCATTTTTTAAAAGGTTAAATTAGGAAATAAGGAGGAATAGAATAGAAAAATAGAAGAGCAGAAAGGAAGAAGTGTCTGATTCAATCTCTCTACTGACCTCTCGAGAGAAATCAGACTGAAGAGAAGAAAGCACCTTTAATATCTTCACCGGCTGAGGTGTCACAGCAGAAGCAGGACTAGTCAGTTTTTATCGACTTGGGGGGTATGAGAAAATACCCAGTAGTGCTGAGGGAATAAGCAAGAGGAAACAGATCATATTTCAATAACAAATGTCATTTTATTTATACATATACACAGTACTTCTCTAGCCCTTTTGTGCAAAAGGTGTGGATGTATCTAACATTGCTGTGTGTGAATGCACAAGAAAAATATTAAGGCCAAAGTGATGAATTACATACCAGGCAAAGAATGGATGAAGGCCCAGACATCATCAACTGTCCATATAGATGGCTCTGTTTGTGCAACTGGTAGCAAGTCACTGTTCTCAGGCATTTTCCGAATTCTCACATCCCGAAGCTCACGTTCTCTTTCCCGCTCGCTCTGCCTGCGCAGACGAGTTGTCATAGCAGATGGCACAGAATCTTCATGAGAAGCCAAGTCTTCTTCTGCAGATGGATAAGTAATTGGAAGCTGGAAAATGTAGTACAAGCAAAATACAGCATTGCACTTTCCTTGCATTTCTGAAAAGGGTATTTTACATTGAAGCAAGGTTTATACAGACCTGCCTAAGGATATGTTCTCTCGCTGCCCCATCAGGGCCACTTGGACGACGGCCACGATGCCCAAGACTTTGATTATCAGGCTTACGATTCCAACGACTAAGTGCAAATTTTTTAGAACAGCTAACATTGTACCTAAGAAATTCAAGAAAGAAAAAATATTTAATGATATATGGGACAATCCATTTAGTATTTAATTGTGACTTTAAAGTGCAACTGTGAATCAGTAAGTACCACAATACATCATTAATGAATGTAAGACCTCATAAAGTAACTACACTGTTCAATGGATTTACTTATGCTAAAGGTCAAAAAACAGGCTCTGTGTATACCATAATATATCTCTCAATATAATACTGGACATCTATAACAAGGTATTGTATTTTTTCCTGATTACAGCATGACAGTGGGAAACTGCCTGCAAAATACAGAGGATAACCAATTTTCATAGCAGTAAAAAAAATGGAAGGTTCCGAAAGAAAAAGAAGTTATGTAGTATCTAAATGTTTATTCAATCTGATTTTTCTAAGTAATAACTTCCAAAGAGACATTAATTTTTAAAAGTTTAATATACTAGGGAGAGGATCTCAAGCAGCTAACAAAAGATTTTTCAAATATTATTAAAATCAAAGAATGAAAATGTAAAGTGGAGATTTTAAAGTTACACAAGGAATTCATTGCTCTCACTATTCAGAAAATTTAGAAGTATATAACTCTTTAATGAAAGATTTTCTTTTATCACAATAGACTGCCTAGTATTTTTGAACATAGACCTTTATAAGACATGATGACAGCTTAAAAGAATCCTATGTCTTTTAATGGATCCTAAAGCCCTGGAACCAGGACTGGCAAACTTTTTCTACAAAGGACTAGATGGTAAATATTTTAAGTTTCATGGGCCATATAAGTTTCTGTCACAACTACCCACCTCTGCCACTGTAGTGTGAAAGCAGCCATTGAAAATACCCTGAGCCAGGCCCAGTGGCTCACACCTGTAATCCCAGCACTTTGGGAGGCCAAGGTGGGTGGATTACTTAAGCTCCAGAGTTCAAGACCAGTAAATGGCAAGACCAGTTCAAGGCCAACACGGTGAAAACCCGTCTCTACCCAAAATACAAAAACTAGCCAGGTGTGCTGGCACACACCTGTAGTCCCAGCTACTTAGAAGGCTAAGGTGGGTGGATGGCTTGAGCCCAGGAGGCCAAGGTTGTAGTGAGCTGTGATAGCGCCACTGCACTCCAGCACAGGTGACAGAGCCAGACCCTGACTCAAAACAATAAAAATAAAAAAATAAAAAATAAATAGAAAATATTGAATAAGCATGGTTGTGTTCTAGTAAAATTTTCAGTAACAATAACAGTAAAATTTGAATTTCACATAATTTTCATGTATCATGAAATATTATTTTGATTTTTTTCCCAACAAACTAAAAATTTCAAAATCATCCTTAGCTCATGAGCCCATACAAAAAAATGAACAATGGGAAAGACCTGGCCTGGGTGAGTTTGCCAACCTTTCCCTAGAAAGAAGAGTGAGAAGAAATGATCTAAGAAACAAATTTCTGAAAAGCTATGCAAAGCTAGGAAAAATATATGCAGTTTCATTTTTACATATATGAAACGCCTTGGTAACCTATTTTCAAAAATCTGTTTTGTAGAGATGGGGGTCTCACTATGTTGCCCAGGTGGGTCTCAAATTCCTGGGCTCAAGCAATCTTCCCACCTCAGCCTCCCAAAGTGCTGGGATTACAAGCATGTGCCACCACACCTACCCTTCAAAATTCCTTTGCTCCAAGAAAGTTACAAGAATAAATCCCAATTAACTTTGCTATTGCTAACTATTCTAGAACCAGTATGCTGACACCAAAACAAATTCTCCTCACCTACATTTTATAAAGATATCAAGAGGTGGAAATAAAAAGTACTATGATAATGAATATGCTATTTTTCCCATAAAAATATAAGTATCTTGATAGCCAATTCATTTTACCCTAAAACAATTCGAGATCCTGCTGTGTTCATAATGTGCTCATTTGTGGGCTCAGCAATGTAGGTTTCTGATTTCCATTTATATCAACTGATAAAACTTCTTTATCCGTTAAGAAAAGAATAGAAAAGAGGCTAGCTTTATACTTGATATTTTGTCCCTAAATATTTAGCTTTCCAAGACAGCTAGGCAGACATGTAAATGGCAATGGTTCTTCCCTGACCTAATCTACCCTCTCTCATCCACATTTCCCTGTTAGGGCCCCTACCCTGCTAAAGAGGTTCATCGAAAGGATACTAATGTGACAGCTCAGCAATCATCTCTGAGAGAAGACTGATGGCAGCATTAAGTGTTCTCAAATATTTTTAAATAGTCAAGAAGTTTAAAATATTCTGAAAGGGAGTCCTTTCCCCAAATTTTTAGAGTTTTTAAATCACTTAGAATCAGATAACCATTGTTCTTTCTTGTGGTATATGCAAACTAGAAAACTCAAGTTAAAACATGAGTTACATAATTTGATTATTGATTTATCAGTAACATCAAAGCATATTTGAAAAACAGATTGACAACCAAAACAATGAGCCCAATTTTGGAGGAAAACACTTCTATTATTTAACTTAAGTTTTACTAAGTATATTTTGGAAATAACCTATACGAAATAAAATATTCAAGTAAGAAATTCCCTAGATGTATGCAATTATATTAATTTTTTTCATGAGGTTAAGGTTATTTATTTTTTATGGATGCATAATAGATGTACATAGTTTTAGGGTATGTGTGATAATTTAATACATTCATATAATCTGTAACGATCAAATCAGTGTACTTGGGATATCCACATCTTAAACATTTGTCTTTTCTTCATGCTAGAACCATTCCAATTCTCTTCTACCTATTTTGAAATACAGTACAAGCTATAGTCATCCTACTGAAGATCTTAAATCCTTTGAAAGAATAATTACCTTTTTGAACAGAGAACCAATTTCAAAATAGTGTGCACACACTTCAACTTTAGTGGTAAGTATCTGTATTACTAGGATTTATTACTGGAATTAGGGTGGGGTTCTTTAACATAAACCAAACTTGGGAATTATACGATTAATGAAGAGACTAAACATTTATTTTGTTATTAATACTATTTATCAGCCAGGCGTGGTGGCTCACACACGTAATCCCAGCACTTTGGGAGGCCAAGGCGGGCAGATCACCTGAGGTCAGGAGTTTGAGACCAGCCTGGCGAACATGGTGAAACCCCATCTCTACTAAAAATACAAAAATTAGCTGGGCATGGTGGCAGGTGCCTGTAATCCCAGCTACTCAGGAGGCTGAGGCAGGAGAATCTCTTGAGACTGGGTGGTGGAGGATGCAGTGAGCCGAGACGGCACCACTGCACTCCAGCCTGGGCTATAGAGTAAGACTCTATATCCAAAAACAAACAAACGAACAAACAAAAAAATACTACTTATCTGAAATAATGACTATTGAAAATACTAATTCAGAAAAGACAAGTATTTTGCTGTCTGATAATGTTAACAGTGTGGGGAATTTATACTACAGCTGTCCCATAAGAAATCTAAAATAAATAGGATGATTCAAACAAATGAAAACATTTTAAAACAACACAAAGTAAATCAAAGTATTTCAATAATGATAAAACAGCTGATAAAACAAATACTGTTTTTGATACTTTAAGGACTAGTATTATATAATCATGATGAAATCGTGATGACTTCATTGAAGGGATTCTCCTAAATATATTCTTACCATCAGGAGATTACTACTTTAATATTAGATTATACTGTACAATTGATTTTAAGTATTATGAATATGTAATTTTCGCAAAGCAAAATCTAGTAACTAAATACTAGGTGGCTCCAGATACTGCCTATTTGTATTATTCTTCTATATAATAATATCTAGGTTTCTTCTATAATATTACATATTAAAATATCTATAGTTATCCTTGGTAAGCTATTCAAGGGTTTTTTGGTTTAGTTGCAATGGCTATTTATCTGTCCTTTGGGAAATTCAAGAGCACAGAAATACCTTTTGGCACATGACATAGTGCAGAATCGTTTTGACCGCAAAAATTCATTAGCATATCCCATTTTCCCACAGAATTCACACTTGAGCAACTCACTGTCCATTTCTTCTAATGTCTCTAAAAAAGAAGGAAACAAAGGAAAAAAAGGTTCCAAAAATTTAATTATGCAAATTTTCTTTAAGTCTATACTTTGGTTGGATACTGCTAGCAAACCAATGGCCCTTTAACTTTTCAATCCACAGCCACTCTGGCAGGGCAAAAGCCTTCAAAACACAACCACTGCTACTAATTCCCTCTTGCTTCTGCATAAAAATTACAAGGAGTTTCTTTCTATATAAATAAGCATAACATTTTAAAAGGTTCATCTTGCTTACAATCCATCTAAAATGTAAAAAAAAATTATTTATAAACACTGGGAGAGAAATGAAGATGAATAACATAGGCATTATCCTCCAGGAGGAACACTTTCAAAAAGCTGAGGGTGGGATATGAATTTTGATAAATTGCACTGTGGAGATACATAGCAGGGAACTCTTAATTCTAACTGGAGAGAATAAAGATGGCTTCAAAATGGTGAAATTGTGATATGTCTGATTTTACAGGAGCATGCAAAATAATTAACTCTCTCGAAGATCTGCAGTATATGATAAAATATATAAAGATGCATATATCAGGAGGCTGAGGCAGAAGAATCGTTTGAGACAAGGAGTTTGAGACCAGTGTGGGCAGCATAGCAAGACCCCATCTCATTCATACATATATATACATACATAAAATTCTTTAAAAAGATGCATATATCTAATTATAAAACAGTTCCTTTTAGTTATATTGCATTAAAATAAAAACTAGGCTTAAAAATCAGTTTCATAATTCCCAACCACTGATGCTTTTTTTCATCATGCTTTTCTTTAACTTAATGGGTGCTCCCTACTAAGTTAGAATGTCCTTCTTCCACCCTACATATGTAACTATCTTCAGGCAGTAACACAAAGCGCAAAGACCCTTCCATGCTAAATCCCCGGGTACTCGGCAGGAGTCACCCATAAGCAAACAACTAAATCTTCATGACCCACAATTTTCTCATCTGTAAAATGGGGTTTATAATACATTTCCCAAAGAATTGAAGTGGCAATTATATGTGTGCCCAAAAGGTAGTAGGCATTAAAAGTGATAGTTCCATTTCCTATTTTCCACATAAGAACTAAAAGGGTAGTATGACATGTAATAGCGCTCAAGAAATACTTTGGTAAAACTTGTTAAATTCTTAAATCAACCACATTTTGCCATTTTCTTGCATCATCATAATTCCTCTGCCAAGTCATATTAAAAAAAGCAACAAAAGCATTTTACTGAAAAGCATTTTACTAACTAAAGCTTTTAGCTGTGAACTCCATATGTGTGCTCTTTCTATGTTACTCATTTAATAAAGACTAAGATAAATACAAGGACTCAGAAATGTAGACATGGGTGGCATGTACTCAGTGAGCTCAGGTACTCACATTACCTCAGTTTTACTGGGGAAGCAGATGGCAAAGTGCTAAATTAAGTGAAGTAGCAAGAACTACTAAAAAAACAAACTGTGAATTAATATTTGACATTGGTGGGGCATCCAAATACATTATCCTGAATAATGAAATCATGAACTGACACGTGACCAGTTTAAGGAAATTCTCAGGACTACCTTCATAAGCAAAAGTCATCAATTTAGTAGCAATGAGGAAGAAACAGTCTCAAAACAAGTAAATTAAAAATTGCCCCTTCCAATGACCTTCCAACGGCCCAGTCAGGAGATCCACCAACACATTCCTGAGACCTGAAAACATAATTCCTAGAAGTACTGTTTTTATTTTGTCATGCTTATAATCTGATCTTACTATAATCTGATCTGACTGAGAAGCCTATAGGGAGACAGAACTTCTCACTCAACCACCACTGCCATTAGTTCCAGCCCTGAAAGAGTCCATTCCTCAGGGTTATTCCAGGAACAGGATATGCTAAAAGCTTTGTTTCAAAGATCTTTTGTTAATTAACATAGCAATGTCCAACACCTGATATTAAGTCAGAATACCTTATGAAGGAGAAGGAAATGTTTTTGTTGGTGACAGAGAGGAAATACCAAACAGAAATGGTTTACAGTTAACCGAACAAAAATAAGAGTAGTATAAGTTTTATTTCTCATAAAGAAGCGAGGGACATTAACAGATTCAAAAATTCTTGTTCTAATGTTCAGTCAGATTTTTAACAAATTTGGTAATATTACCAAGGTCACTCTTTTACATTTATGAATTAGAAAACTGCCAAAACACTTTTTTAAAACTGCTGATTTAGCTAATAAAAATGGGATTCTATGGCAGAGACAGCTGGTAATTCTCCAGCATCCACTCTTTGCTTTTCTCCCATAGTAACAAAACCCTACGAACATGGCCACCCAGATTAAAAACAAGTTTCTGCCCTAGGTGTGGCTGATTTGTAACCAATGGCATATGACTGTAAATGCTCACAAATTCCAGATGGTGCTCTTTCCCCCATCTCATTGGTTAGAATGTGATCATGAAGATCAGCCATCTTGGAAATAAAAGTAACATTCTACAGATGACAGAGACATAAGACCCTGGAGCTTGAGTGCCCAATACTAAGGAACTACCACATAAGCCCTGGACTGATCTTTGGGTTATGTCAGAGAAAATTAAATTCCTATCTTCTTTAATCAAATATTATTCTGGATCTCTACTGAAGTGGCCAAACCTGCTTCCTAATCTAGATCCCCCATTTTCTGGCATGAGGGGAAGTTATTTTTTATTTCCCCCAAAGACCTGAAATCACATGAGGACAGCAGCAAAAAGAGGCAATGAGATGGAAATCATAATCAGTGTGAAGATATACCAAGGAAGACCATAAGCTACTTTGATGAATCACAATCTACTGGTTGGAGACTCTCATTATAGAACCAGTCTAAAGAGAACCACAGTTTATCCTTTATATGCTTACCAGAGGTTTTTTATGTTGAAACTATATATACTACTAAAACCAAAGCCACTAAATAAGTGACCTCACCATTTTACACTATAGTACTTCCTATAAACACTGAAGTACATAGTAACAGAAACATGAAAATTATAAAATTACCTTGGGAAATTAAAACTAGAAAGTATTTAAAATTTTAGCACATTTTATGTAAACATTTCTCCCCTATGAAATATATTATCTCTACATCTTCCTTTCCTTACTCTGATATCATATCCTGCTGATATGATAACATCAGTCCTTTCCTTTGAGAACATCAGTCCTTTCCTTCCTCTTCCTGCCATGACTACAGGTGTCAATTACATGCAAAATTTATACATACATCCTACAGACGGCCATCAAAGTCTCCAAAAACACTCTTTTATTCGTAACACCTTCCTAAAAATCTTCAGTACTATCCACCCACCTTCAAACCATCCACCTAACTTCAAACTTGCTTGTCTAATATCCAAGGTTCTCCAGAAACTCACTCTGCCAGTCATACTTCCCACTACCCCTCTAATCCAACCCTCTACTCTTCACTGCCCTCTCTCGAAGTTACCTAGCACTTACACATTCTTAGTGCGTTTACTTAGTGTTCTAATCTGAAATGTTCTCGCTGTTTATCCTAAATCTATGCATTAAATCCACGACCCACTTCAAATCTCATTTTTATAGGAAACCCACCAAACTAGGAATAATCTTAGCCAGTTTTAAAGTTCTAAATTCTGTCTATATAATTCAGTGTGACTATACCATCTGTAGCTCCTTCGTTACCTTTCTGTATGGAGATTCCCTAGATTCCTAGTTCCAAACTACATTAAAAGCTGCTGGAGGGAAAGCGGATTGTATTTTACTTCTTTATGTATGTAAATAATATATACATACATAACCTGTCATGTTCTAGAATAGTCTAACATATACTATATGTCCATTATATTATAAACTGAGGATCACACTATATGTTGTAAAGTTTCCTAAGCAGATTTCCATGTTCTTCCTATTGTGTACACAGGGAGACACATTATAAATACTTTTTAGCCTAGAACTTTCATTTATATACATATTGTAGATATAGGCCAAGAAAAAAAGAATACCTGCACATTCTTTGTTACTTTTCACTTCACATGAGAATGCTCTCAGATAAAATAGTATGTGCAATTAAAAGACAGTATTTGAGAATTAAAGGAAATGAAATTCACAAAAACAAAAGGCACAATACAGACCTTATTTGGAACCTGATTTAACTAAATAACTATAAAATGACTTTAAAAAGTTAGGGAAATATGAATATTGGCCAGGTATTATATAACACCAAAGAATTATTATTTTGCTATGTGTGATATGGCATTATAAGGAAATGTGTATTATTTTGAGAGAGGCACACTGACGTATGTACCGGTGACTACGATTTTCTTTAAAACAAGAAGAAGGAAGGAAGGAAGGAAGGAAGGAAGGAAGGAAGGAAGGAAGGAAGGAAGGAAGGAACGAACGAACGAAAGAACAAAAGAACGGAAAGGAAAGGGAAGGAAGGAAAAAGAAAGAAAGAGAGAGAAAGAAAGAGGAAGGAAGGAAGGAAGGAAGGAAAGAAGGAAGGAGAAAGAAAGGAAAGAGAAGAGAAGAGAGGAGAAGAGAGAAGAAAAAAGAAGGGTGGGGGTTAGGAATGGAGGAAGGAAACAAAATGAATGAAGCTACTGTGGCAAAATAATGTTGAAATTGGGTGATAATGTTGAGTCTGGGTGACTGGGGATTTATTATACGATTCTAATGAATGTTTGAAATTTTTCAAGGTTAACATTCTTTCAAATTAAAACCAATCAAACTGAACTCAGAATAAGTAGTAAAAATCAAATTTTAAACTAATATACTCCTTGCTGTTCAAATAAGAAGTAAAACGGTGATTCACATGTTGCAACAGTTTATAAAGAGCTAACAATGTCAGAGATGTCATCCTTTTAAGTTAGAAAATCTGTGGGCAAAGACAGTATCTAGTTTGCTTACCAGCATGCTATTTCGCTTAATTTAGCGAAGTAAAGGCACACAGTATAGGCTCAATAAATATTTGTAAAGTGAATAAATTAATTTTAATGAAATATACTAATACATTGAGGATAATTACTTAGACACAAGTGTTAATTCACTACTACAGGGCCTTGACTATTCTAAATGCTACTGCATTAAACTGAACTCTATCACCTGAAGGGCCATGATCAAAAAGATGCTCCTATAGAACACGGCAATTCAGAATCTCAGCCCAAAAAACAGTAAAAACTTTGCTGCTTTTAAATAGCAAATTCAAGGTATAAAATACCGTTTTCATTTTCATTTTTGTTTGCTTTCCTTCAGTCATTTTGGATACCACTTGGACTTCTATTTACTTTATTTCATTTTTTTTTTGAGACGGAATCTAGCTCTGTCGCCAGGCTGGAGTGCAGTGGCACAATTTCGGCTCACTGCAACTTCCGACTCCCTGGTTCAAGCGATTCTCCTGCCTCAGCCTCCAAAGTAGCTGGGATTACAGGCACACACCACCAGGCCCAGCTAATTTATATATATATATATATTTTTTTTTAGTAGAGATGGGGTTTCACCATGTTGGCCAGGATGGTCTTGATCTCTTGACCTTGTGATCCACCCACCTCAGCCTCCCAAAGTGCTGGGATTACAGACATAAGCCACCGCGCCTGGCCTATTTTTTTTTTTTTTTTTGAGATGGAGTCTTGCTCTGTCACCCAGGCTGGAGCACAGTGGCGCAATCTCAGCTCACTGCAACCTCCGCCTCTGGGGTTCAAGCAATACTCCTGCCTCAGCCTCCCAAGTAGCTGGTATTACAGGTGCATGCCACCACACCTGGCTAATTTTTGTATTTTTAGTAGAGACGGGGTTTCACCATGTTGGTCAGGCTGGTCTCAAACTCCTAACCTCAAGTGATCTGCCTGCCTCGGCCTCCCGAAGTGTTGGGATTACAGGCATGAGCCATCGTGCCTGGCCTTATTTCATTCTTTATTAGAATAAAGTCTATAAAAAAGGAGTTTTCTCGTTGAACAAATGTAACCACCTCTTGAATGAAGAGTATATACTTAATACAATTATAATATCCACCTGATGTCAAACATCAGCATGCAGAAAGTCTGAAACGAAACAACCCAGAAGCTCTAAAATTTTAAGCTAACTCACTAAAATACTCATTTGTTACTTAAGTCTGCTTTAAAAAAGAAAGAAAATTGATTGTTTTGATACTAAAATTCTGAATTGCCTTCTCTCACATATGATGGAACTTTTCCCACTCACACTCCTTCAAAAGTCAAACTGACATTGAAGAAATTAGCACTAATCTTGCTATTTTAGTTATGTGACCATTGAGA
The DNA here is from genome assembly GCF_000001405.40 of Homo sapiens. Classification (NCBI taxonomy): domain Eukaryota; kingdom Metazoa; phylum Chordata; class Mammalia; order Primates; family Hominidae; genus Homo; species Homo sapiens. The sequence goes on from NC_000003.12 coordinate 170,113,198, forward strand.
GTCTGATTAGCTTTCCCATTATTTTAGTCAAATGGTGCATTATATGAAAATAAAAGTTGAATACTTCCAGTGAAATTCTGTACAGAATAAAAATCCACATCCTGTTTTAAGCAGTAAAAGTCAAAGTTAAATTAAAGGGTATCTTAAGTGAAACCCACAAACCTTCAGCAATCATGTCTTCCATCTCTGTGTCAGATGAATTATCCGCATGTTTTGTATTATTCTGTAGCTCTGGCTGAACACACACTGAATTTATCACCTGATTATCCAAAAGAGGCCGTTTTTTCACAGGCTGTTCTATTAGCAAAGAGGAACGACTCACCTTTAAAAAAGGAGAAATAATAAAATGAAACAATCTCCAAAAAGACATTCAGAAATACTTTGGTTTAAAAAACTCTTAAAATGAAACCTATTTGTGATAATTTACTAGTTCAACTGATCAGATCCATTTAGTAAGTGCCTTATTCCTTGGGAAAAGATGAGGCAGAGTGGACATGAATGGTTTATTTCTGGTCACCAGCAGTACAGCTGCTTCAAAGTCTCTGTCAAATGGAACCTATTGTCTGAGTTTAGGCAAGGAGTTTTTGAAAAAAAAGTCTTAATATTCAGCAATTCTTTATCTTCAGAATTAATACTAATCATCCAGTTATCCTGCACTGCAAATATTTTGGTAGCTCAGTCCAACACTGAAAAACAAAGGCAATAACTGTCAGTATATTTAAGAGTTGGGTTTTTTTTTTAACTTTAAAAAGTCTACTCAATTAAGCAATTCTCTCTCAAGTTCTTTGTGGAGACTAACTTTTTTCCTTTATAAATTTTAGCGTTTTTTCTTTCTTTCTTTTTGAGACACAGTTTTGCTCTTGTTGCAATGGTGCAATCTTGGCTCACCACAACCTCCACCTCCTGGATTCAAGTGATTCTCCTGTCTCGGCCTCCCAAGTAGCTGGGATTACGGGCATGTGCCACCGCGCCTGGCTAATTTTGTATTTTTAGTAGAGACGGGGTTTCTCCATGTTGGTCAGGCTGATCTCGAACTCCCAACCTCAGGTGATCCACCCACCTCAGCCTCCCGAAGTGCTGGGATTACAGGCGTGAGCCACTGCGCCCGGCCAATTTTAGTGTTTTCCATACGAATGCAAGACAAACAAAAGATCATCAGTAAATGCTGACATGCCAGTATCCTCAACTAATTAAGATTTTTCATGCACAAAGCTTTTTATTTGTAGGGTTAATGATCAAGACAAAATTATTGGATGTATTTTCTGGATAAGAAAACTAAAATTCAAAATGTTTAGGTGATTTGTTTACAAAAACAGAATGAGGACTAGAACTCAAGTCTCCTGAATCCTAGTTTAGCAAACTAATCCACTATAATCACAAAAGAAATGGAAAATCCTCAAATATTAACAAATTAACATCAAAATATTCACTTATATTCAGTATACTTGGTTAACTCAGGAATACTACCTATTTTAGAAGTATTTTCAACAAAAACAACTCAGATCAAATATATTCATTGATTCACTGGTGAGCCCTCAGCTAATTTAAAAAACAGAATGACTAGAACATCTTATTCCTCAAGAATGCTGGTTAAGTCTCCAATATCTGCCACATATGGGGAACAACAGCTTATTGGACAGAAACTTCTACATTTAACTTTAGAGTATAATTACTCACAAACTTTTTAAACATTTTGTTCATTTGAGTTAGATATTTAATATGCCTCAAGTGAAATTAAAATTTACAGAAGTTATTGCTTAAAGAAAAACTCACATTCAATGCTAAGGGCATACACTTCTCACAGATGAATAAATTTAAATCATTTTCCAAAAAATAATTCAGCAATACGTATCAAGAGTCTTATGAATATCTATGTAATATGACATAATAACTCTATTTCTAGGAATTCATACTAAGAAACTTATTTAAAATGTGTATGATTTATATATATAGATATTCCTTTCAGAACTATTTGAACAGTGAAAAAATGGAAACCTAATGTCCAACAATAATGGAAAGATTACATAAATTATGGATGTTCATAAAGTGAAATATTATGTAACCTTTCAAAATGTTTCCAATACTATTAATAATGAGAAAATACTCAAATTTCCTCAGTGAAAGGAGAACTGTATGTACCATAATCTTGATTATATGTATGTATCTATAACATATATACATTATATACACAAACACATATACATTAAAACCACAGTATGTATATGTACATATATACAATACATATGTACATATATACCACAATACATATGTATACACATATACATACTGTGGTATTAATGTGTACTGTGGTATATATAGACATAAACATATTGTGGTATTAATGGGGATCATTTGCCCTGTACATTTCCCAAATCTTCCATTTAGAACATGTATTAGTTTTATAATGTGAAAATAAAAGTTATGGCTCTCACTAGTGATAACAGATAATAATGGCTATGGCCATGAAGTGCCAGGTACCATACAGAATAATTTATGCACATTTAGTTCTCTCGACAACTCTAAGAGCAAAGCACCGTCTCCACCTGACAAATAAGCAAAATAAAGATCAGAAAGTTTGAATGACTTGACAAAGGTTACCCAGTCAGTATGGAGCAGACAGGGAAAAAAGACTGTTCCTCCATCCACTGTATGAGAATTGTTATAGGAAATCCAAGTTTCTCACACACACACACACACACACACACACGAAATTGAACACAAAAACAACTGATTGGGTAGCTATCTATCATAATGCAAGATTTTCACCCATGAATCTGAAAATCCAGATGACTCAAAAGGCCTTCAAAAAATTTTTCATATTTTTATATATGCTTGTCTTTGATATATTTTCTAAGGAAAAATGTTTATCTCTAGATATTAGCATACAAATTATGTACAGCTTAGCTTCAAGTTGTAAGACCTGTAGTGATAGAGGACCTTCATTTTGAGCGGGACATTTTAAAGCATTTGAAAAATATGATTGAAGGCTGAAATTTAGGAATGAGAAAATATATTTGCTAATTACAAACCATCAATTGGGTAGCTTCAGATGTAACTTCAGATGATTTAAAATAATACACTTTATGGCCAGGTGCAGTGGGTCACACTTGTAATCCAAGCACTTTGGGAGGCTGAGGCGGTAGATCACTTGAGGCCAGGAGTTTGAGACCAGCCTGGTCAAGATGGTGAAACCCCCTCTTCGGTACTAAAAATACAAAAATTGGTCAGGCGTGGTGGTGCATGCCTGTAGTCCCAGCTACTGAGGTAGCTAAGGCATGAGAATCACCTAAACCTGGGAGGCAGAGGTTGCAGTGAGCTGAAACAGTGCCACTGCACTCCAGCCTGGGTGACAGAGCGAGACTCTCTCTCAAAAACTCAAATAAATAAATAAAAATAAAAATAGTAGTACACTTCAGCTGTCATTTCAGTTCCCTTAAAAAGAAAAAATGAGCCGAGCGCCATGCCATGGCTCACACCTGTAATCCCAGCACTTTGGGACCCCAGGAGTTAAAAACCAGCCTGAGAAACACGGCAAGACCTTGTCTCTACAAAAAAATACAAAAATTAGTGGGGCACGGTGGCGCACACCTGTAGTCTCAGCTACTCAGGTGGCTGAGGTAGAAGAATCAACTGAGCCCCAGGGGTCAAGGTAACAGTGAGCCATGATCGCACCACTGCACTCTAGCCTGGTCAACAGAGCAAGATCCTGTCTAAAAAAAAAAAGAAAGAAAAAATATAAAAGTTGATTTCACTGAATAAACTTCCAACTACCTTTCTCTAAAAATTATAAAAATATGTCCTGAAATTTTTTTCATTTTTTCCCTTAGTTTATGCATCTAAACTTAGCTGGCATAAAATTCTACATAAACATTTGGAAATAAAGGAAGTAGAAAGATAAATGCTAGATTAAAATGGACAACTTTCTTGAAATAAAATTACAAGCTTTTTATTAGAGAACAGTAATATGTAACTTTTAAAATAATGTTATATAAATTACAAACACACACACAAATATGCTTGCTACTTACAGGAAATGGCTCCAATCCCTCCTGAATCACAAAGCCTTCAATAACATGGGTTAGGATCTGTGGTTTAACAATAGCCTGTGGAGGTTTGTTCTCTATACTGGGAATGCTACTGTGCATAGATGTACTGTTACTCCTTGTGGTGGCAGCTGGAAGTAACAATGGAGGTGGTGGAACAGAAACATGTGAGGGATCTGATGGAGATTTAATTACTGAAGCACTGACTGATGCCACAGCAGGTAATTCCACTTGCTCTGAAAAAAAAACCAAAAAGTCATTTAAAAATTTTTTTAGCATTTTGCCCAAGCAAATGAAAGAGAATTAAGGAATAAATAATAACAACAGTTAATATCTGGTACTTTCAAAAACTGTTCTAAGAACCTTAAGACCTCATTTAATCTGTACAATAATCTTCTAAGGTAGAAGCGACTATTATTTCCACTTTATAGAGGAGGGTAGCTTGCTCAAAGTTATTCAGACCTTTAACAAATTGGGCCAGGCACAATGGCGCATGCCTGTAATGCCAGCACTTTGGGAGGTCAAGGTGGGTGGATCACCTGAGGAGAATTCGAGACCATCCTGGCCAACATGGTGAAACCCCATCTCTACTAAAAAAAAAACCAAAAAAAAAAAAAACAAAATTAGCAGAGCATGGTGGCACACGCCTGTCATCTCAGCTACTTGGGAGGCTGAGACAGGAGAATCACTTGAGCCCAGGAGGCGGAGGCTGCAGTGAGCCAAGACTGTGCCACTGCACTCCAGCCTGGGCGACAAGAGTGAAACTCTGTCTCAAAAAAAAAGCAAAATTGTTCCCATGAGACATGAAAATGTTTTAAGATATAAACTTACAAATAATTTATACTAAAATGGTTGCTTGGTTTTGTTTTGATGTTTCTTAATTTTAAGCTATTAAATCCCCTATGTTCCTATTTATATATTCCAAATGGTATAGGTGGGGCAGTGGAGTACTTTGAAAGTATGCTTAAATGAAATGGGGTCATGAAATCCACAGAACAAGTAGATTTATTTATTTATATGTTTTTTGGAGACCAGGTACATGTCGCCCAAGCTGGAGCCCAATGGTATGATCAAGGCTCACTGCAGTCTCAACCTCCCAGGCTCAGGTGATTCTCCCACCTCAGCCTCTTGAGTAGGTGGGACCACAGGTGTGTGCCACCATGCCTGCCTGGAAAATTTTTATTTTTTTGAGACGGAGTCTCGCTCTGTCACCCAGGCTGGAGTGCAGTGGCACGATCTCGGCTCACTGCAAGCTCTGCCTCCCGGGTTCATGCCATTCTCCTGCCTCAGCCTCCCGAGTAGCTGGGACTACAGGCACCCACCACCATGCCTGGATAATTTTTTGTATTTTTAGTAGAGATGGGGTTTCACTGTGTTAGCCAGGATGGTCTCTATCTCCAGACCTTGTGATCCACCCGCCTCGGCCTGCCAAATTGCTGGTATTACAGGCGTGAGCCACTCACCATGCCTGGCTGCCTGGATAAATTTTTTTAATGATTTTTGTAGAGATGGGGTCTCACTTTGTTGCCCAGCTGGTCTGGAATTCCTAGACTCAAGTGATCCTCCTGCCTCAGCCTCTCAAAGTGCTGGTATAAGCCACCCAGCTGGTCTGGAATTCCTAGACTCAAGTGATCCTCCTGCCTCACCTCTCAAAGTGCAGGTATAAGCCACCATGCCCAGCCTTCACAGCAGTTATATCCATAAATTAACCTAGTTTCACCAAATAATCCACCAAAATAAACCGTACTGGAAAACCTGTTTAAAGTCACACAAAGTCACACAATCTATAAAAAGCTAAAAAAAAAAAAAAAAAAAGAAAAAGAAAAGAAAAGAAAATCAGCAGAAAATGTTAATGTGCTGATTTCTAGGAACAAATACACAATTGTACAAACATATTATCAAACTAAGGAACTTCACAAAAATCCTATCTCACATACCAAATCTTCATACATACTTCTAGGGGACAAAGGATGAAAGATTTAAAAATTCTGAAGTAGGACTGAAAGGCACTTTTCTATAGAATGGAAAAAATAAATCTATGGAGAACTGAAACCTAAATTAAAATTTTAATGTCCCTTACAGATTTAGAGATAAGAGATACTTTACTTTTAAAATATAAAGCTGCACTAAGTATAATTTGGTTTGTTCAAGAAATAATGCTTGCTGTATATTCTAATTAATATCTAGATCATGTGCATAAATGTGCCAAACTTATAGTCCTAAATTTTGTTCAAAATAGAGCTATAAATTACTAACTTTTTGAAGATGGTAATAGCTATTTACATAAGTTGTAAAAATCGAAAACATGAGAAACACTCATGTATTACAATAGAAGAGAAAGACAATTATTACGCCCTCTAGATTTAAGAGAAGTATGAGAGAAAACCCAAGTTCTAACTGATAAAATTTTGCCACAAATCTGTCTATTCTCAGTATCATTTACTGAGCAAGAGATGTGAGATTTTTCTACCTTTTTGTATAGATGCTTTTCACTTTCAAAAAATTTTAAAGATTTATAACAACTGAATCTCAGATGGAAACAAGTCTATTTCTGCAAGTTAGTTTATTTCAAGATTTGATGAGTTACTGTAAAAAAAAAAAAAATCAACCTGTGCTTTAGTTCCCCCTCAAATATTACAGAAGAGTAATAAGTATGAGGTAAATTAGAGGAAGATGCAAGTCTACATTGTACTTTGACAATTTAGCCAGAGAGATGTGCTTGTCAGGATCTCAGACTACATTCCTGAGGAAAACATGGAAAGACGTTCTTGTGTTCCAATATTTCAGAAATGTTTAAACTTCCTTCAAGTACTATTAGTAATGCTTATTTTGTAATTAAATCACAACTAAAATGTAAGTTTACTATTCAATAAAACTGACTTTTTTTTTGGTAACTCTAATCTCATGACAGATTAGCAATAAAACTTACATTTCTGCCTTTAAATCAAAACTCCAGTTAATCCGCAGCAACATAAATCCATTTCAGTGTAAACCACAAAGATTTAATACTATAAACTTTCTTAAGTCTTATGAGGTATTACTTTGAATAAAAAGACAATAATAGGCCAGGCGCAGTGGCTCATGTCTGTAATCCCAGCATTTTGGGAGGCCGAAGTGGGTGGATCACCTGAGGTCAAGAGTTCGAGACCCACCTAGCCAACATAGTGAAACCCCGTGTCCACTAAAATACAAAAATTAGCCAGGCGCCTGTAATCCCAGCTACTCAGGATACTGAAGCAGGAGAATCACTTGAACCCAGGAGGCGAAAGTTGCAGTGAGCCGAGATCATGCCACTGCACTCCAGCCTGGGCGACAGAGCCAGACTCCATCTCAAAAAAAAAAACAATAATATAAAACTCACCTTAAATATTTTATATAAGTTTATTGACTGTTTTCTACTTTTCAGGAGGAGGAAAAGATAAAAGAAAATTAAATTTCCCCTTTTATGCTCTCTAGAGATTTACAATAGTAGTGAGGGAATAGAAGCTCGAGAGAAAAGAAGGGAAGGGGATATGGCACGCTAAAGAAAGCAGAGAGCAAGGGTTGCCTGGACGGCAGACAGGGTTAGTGGTCCCATAAGAGTTTGTTTCCATGCCTGTTGTAGCAGTCCTTCTTAACTGAAAATGATCATGAGGGCAATAAGATATTCAACAGAACAGAATACGTACAACAAAGCCGGAACCAAGATTAGTATTATTCAGATCAGGGGTCAGCAAACTTTCCATAAATGGCTGTAGAGTTTCTATGGCTATTCAACTCTGTGGTTAGTAAAAAGCAGCCACAATATCTGAACAAATGAGTGTGTGGCTATGTTTCACAGAACTTTATTTATGGACAACGAAATTTGAATTTTATATATATTTTCATGACATGAACTATTACTCTTCTTTTGTTTTCAATCATTCAGAAATGTAAAAGCCATCATTAGCTTGGACCACAGAAAAACAAGCAGCAAGCCATGCATGGTGGAGAGCACCTATAGTACCAGCTATTCAGGAGGCTGAGGCAGGATTACATGAGCCCAGGAGTTAGAGGCCAGCCTGGGCAACATAGTGAGACCCTATCTCTTAAAAAAAAGAAAGAAAACAGGCAGCAGAAAAGATCTGAACAGTGAGCAGTGTGCCAACCTCTAATCCTAACATTCATAAATTTAAAAAAATAACACGAAACATTTGTGTTTAGTAAAATACCTAGAATACACAGTAGCTTTGTGAGGAGGCACATACGGGATATTTGTTTGAACTCATAAACAGCACTGAAATAGTGAATAAGAATTTGAATGGTTAAGCACAAGAACTTTTTTTTAAGAGACAGAGTGTTGCTCTGTTGTACAGGCTGAACTCAAACTCCAGGGCTCAAGTCATCCTCCTACCTCAGCCTCTGACGAAGCTGGGACTCCGGGCATGCACCAAGAAGTCCAGGTAAGAATTTTTTTAATCCATGTCTAAAAGCACTTACTCAGTCTGAATCACAAACAATTGTGAGGAATATCATATATGGCTTAGAATGCTTCATGATTTTTGGAAAGCATTATTTAAATCTTTTGAAAGAATTTTCATTTATTCTAATTTTTAAACTAGAAATAGTCTGACACATGAATGTGAATGAGCATATGAAACATGTCTGCACAAATCACTAAAAATTAGAAGCCTGAAATGATAGGTTTTCATCTGGATGGTACTGAACAATTTATAAGCTATTGAGCTTCCCTGCTATTAAAGAATTTTCCAGGCTGGGCATGGTAGCTCACACCTGTAATCCCAGCACTTTGGGAAGCCGAGGCAAGCGGATCACTTGTACCCAGGAGTTTGGGATGAGCCTGGGCAACGGGATGAGACCCTATCTCTAAAAAATAAAAAATTAGCCAAGTGTGCTGGAAGGTTCCTGTAGACCCAGCTATTTGGAAGCTGGGGCAAAAGAATCTCTTGAGCCCAGGAGATAGGGGCTACAATGAGCTATGATTGAGCCTGGATGACAGAGACTGACCCTGTCTCAAAAAACAACCTTAAACTCAAATCTGTATTTTGTTACAATTAACTACCATAACAAATTCGTTTAATATTATCTCTAGTGAATAAACAGGCTGGGTGCAATGGCTCACACCTGTAATCCTGACACTTTGCAAGGCCAAGGCAGTAAAATCACTAAAGGCCAGTAGTTCAAGACCAGCCTAAGCAACATAGTAAAACCTCGTCACCATAAAAAATAAAAAATCAGCCAGCTGTAATGGTGTGCACCTGTAGTTCCAGCTACAAAAAGGGTGAAAGGAGGAAAGGGAAAAAAATCAACTTTTCCTATTATTAACATTTATCAAATAGAAAAATTCCCACAAATTTTGGTATTTTCTCACCTAACAAAGGATGTTCAGAAGTCAAATCTTCTCCTCTCCCCACTGTTATAGCTGCTGGAGACAAAGTGGGTGGTGGTGGGGTTCTATCCATCCGGACACATTCATCTGACTCTTCTGGCATTTCTTCTTCACACACATCTTCTACCTGATAAACCTGCAATGACAAACCATACTGCCTTAAAATGTTTCCAAAACTATATTTTATCAGGTGTTCTTAATTTCAGAAAATTAAATTCTATGTGTATTAAATTTAAAAACAAGGCAAAAATGACTACTCTAACAGACTGAAAGGAAAACTTAAAAATTGCTCGAATGAAGTTTTTCATATTTCTTCATAATATTTGACTGAAAGCAAGCTGTGGATCAGTATCTAGACCAAAAATCACCAAGGTTTCCAAAAAGATGGTAGTCAAGTCTGAAAATATTTTTTATTTCGATAATTAAAAAATACAAATAAAATAACGATTTTGGGAATTCAACTGTTTTTGTTAACTTCTAACTGTCATGAATCAAAACAGATACTAACATTTTTCATAAGCACACTAAGCGAATTCCTACAATGACACACTATATTAGGACATGTAGGATTCTATCCCAGGCTCTTCCTTATTATTATGTAATTTAAAGATTAAATTATAAAAAGTAACATCTGAGAATCTACAAAAAAAGATACGCAATTATATCTCTCCTTTTCTGTTCTACTCAACAATCTAATGACTCTTTATATATAATATGCAAACAGAAAATATCTTTCCTTGAAATGCATACACACACACACACACACAGCCTAAGCTCTTTGACACCTTATTTTTTTACTCTTTTTATAATGTTCCATACTTATGGGAGAAAGTTTTTAAGTCTATAACTTAACCACCTTGTTATCCAATTGTAAAGATTATACTTAAGAAGGAAAATGGGGCCAGGTGCAGTGGCTCGTGCCTGCAATCCAGCACTCTGGGAGGCTGAGGTGGGTGGATCACCGGAGGTCAGGAGTTCCACAACAGCCTGGCCAACATGGTGAAACCCTACCTCTACTTAAAAAAATACAAAAAATTAGCCAGGCATGGTGGCGGGCGCCTGTAGTTCCAGCTACTTGGGAGGCTGAATCAAGAACATCACTTGAACCTGGGAGGCAGAGGTTGCAGTGAGCCAAGATCAGGCCATTGCACTCCAGCCTGGGTAACAGAGTGAGACTCCATCTCAAAAAAAAGAAAAAGGAAAATGGAATCGAAGGCACCCTGAGAAGGAGCTATGTAACTAGAAATACTTTTTTTTTTGACAGAGTCTCGCTCTGTTGCCAGGCTGGAGTGCAGTGGTGCGATCTCAGCTCACTGCAATCTCTGCCTCCTGGGTTCAAGCGATTCTCCTGGCTCAGCCACCCCGAGTAGCTGGGACTACAGGCGCGTGCCACCATGCCCAGCTAATTTTTTGTACTTTTTAGTAGAGACAGGGTTTCACCAGGTTGGCCATGATGGTCTTGATCTCTTGACCTCGTGATCCACCTGCCTTGGCCTCCCAAAGTGCTGGGATTACAGGCGTGAGCCACCGCACCCGGCCAATACCTTATTATTAATGTTTCCATTTCAAAGAACACTTCTAGAGGTTGACATGGGTATTTTAATTTAATTTGTTATCATTTATTATTTACTTAACCATTATTTATGAAAAATGATTACTAAAAATAAAGCCATAAGAGTTCATTTCCCTTCTTTTATCTATAAAGCTTATTACTTAAGTTTACAAAAATTATGAGTTTTTAAAATCTTATTTAACCATACTGACTAATCTTCCCATTAAAAAAGTGTTTTTTGAGAAAGGGTCTCACTCTGCTGCCCAGGCTGGAGTGCAGTGGCTCCATTATGGCTCACTCAGCCTTGACCTCCAAGCTCAGCCTCCTGAGTAGCTGGGACCACAGGTGTTCACTAACACACCCAGCTCATTTTAAAATGTTTTTTGTAGAGATGAGGTCTCACTATGTTGCCCAGGCTGGTCTCAAACTCCTGGGCTCAAGTGATCCTCCTGCCTTGGCCTCTCAAAGTGCTGGGATTATAGGCATGAGCCACTGCACACCTAGCCCCACAAATGTTAACAAACAAACTTTCAACATTCACAAGAAACCTTTCAGCAACATCTAATATTGTGTACATTTTTAATCAAACTATTTTAAAAGTCTGATGTTTTAAAGTATATAAAATTATACATAAAAGTGATCAGGATTTCTGAAACCAGCAAAACCCATGTGTTGTAAAAGGGACAATCAAGTTTCACCTATAAGGATATAACAGTAAGTTATAAAGGTAACAATAGGTGACAATCAAAAATAAAATAAAATAAAATAAAAATCTTTCCAAGGCTCCACTAAGAATAAAACATCTTCTTTTGTCTTTTGTACAACTTTAAAATTCTACTGTTACTGGATAATTTTATATCAAACATAATATTATACCAAATATAAAATTCAGAACTGTGATCTGAATCAGCTACAAAGTAGGCAACATTTTTTAAAGTTATTTGCTCACAACCCTGCACCTGGAAACCAGTTACACTAAGAGAGATTCTGTGCCTCATGCCTGAATCTCAGACGTGAAAGCAGTCATTTGTTATTGTTCGGAGCAACAATTATACTAGATCGGTTCATGATAATAACAGTTTTTTAAATGATGATAATGCCCAATATAGGTAAAATCATTCTAAAAAGTGTCTGGGGGGTTAAGAAAAAAAATCTAGTCCCCAAGGGCAAGTGCTGTCACAGTGAATACTTTAATTTGCCTTAGTGTCAGAGATGTTAATTCAGAGATAATTAAACAAGTATGGTTTTATCGACCAGTTCAATTTTATCTATGTAGCATTCCTTCAGTATAATAGATAGTACTTTTCTTCCAAAGAACATGATCTTTGCTTAAAATGCTGAAACTCTCTTTAATCCTAATGCAGTTACATGTTATTCAAACATCTGCTAGAGTATCTTTTAAGAAATCAAAGCTTGATCATACATAGAATTCTGATTTTTAAAAACAAGAGTTTAAAGAATGAAAAGAGCCATAACACAAATAGCATATTTTGAAATAATCCATCAAATACTGTAAAATACTTTCCACTCATTATACTTAAAGCTAACTATATGTACTTCCAGAACTCTCATATAAAGGCGAAATAAGTGCATGAATAAAAGAAGTAGGCAAAAACAAATCTGTCACAGACATCTGGCACAATCAGCATTAACAAATCTAAATGTTCAACAATTAAAATGTTGAAAAAAGCAAAGTGGAGGTTTTGCTCACTCACAAGATCATTAGGAAACTGCACATCACAATTACTGTTTAGCTCATAACTATAACTATTCTAAAAATAACAAAGACTGCCAAACTTACCTCAATAAAGTCCAATATTCCCATCTGTTTCCCTTTCCTAAATAAACTGAGGAATATTTGTTTATTAGTTCTAAATTATCTACCCTCAACATACTTATATCCAAATGTCAACAAAAAACTTTAATTCTTAAGTATCTTAAAAAACATACTGATTTTACTTTGAAAATTCACCCTTATCTTTCAAATTTCCACATCTCTTAAAAAATACATCTTTCTACCTTTAAGTGTTTGAAACAACCAGAAAAATATAACCTGTGAAGAAATGTGTTTGAATGGAAAAAATAACACATTTGGTCAAAGGTAATAAAAAAACAAGCTTAATAAATTATTAAAGAGCTATGTTACTCAAAGAAAGGTAAAAGATTAAAAAATATTTAGAAAGGTAACATGGAAACATCCATAGCAAGCATTATAACCATATCAGTGATAGCAGAGAAAGTTATTAATATCATTTTTTAAACTTCCAAAAATGTTTTAAGGTAGAAGTGCAGGAAGCAACAAAATATTTTTGGCTTTAGTTTTCAAAGTATTATGCTCCATATGTATATATATATATATATATATATATTTTTTTTTTTTTTTCCTTTTTCTTTTTTTTGAGACAGAGTCTCACTCTGTCACCCAGGCTGGAGTGCAGTGGTACGATCTCAGCTCACTGCAACCTCTGCCTCACGGGTTCAAGCCATTCTTGTGCCTATGTCTCCCAAGTAGCTGGGATTACAGGCATTCGCCACCATGCCCAGCTAATTTTTGTATTTTTAGTAGAGATGAGTTTCTCTATGTTGGCCAGGCTGGTCTTGAACTCCTGACCTCAGGTGATCCACCTGCCTTGGCCTCCCAAAGTGCTGGGATTAGAGGTGTGAGGCACCACACCCAGCCTTATATTTCTATCCCAAATTTGTTCCTCTATAGCTTCCCCTAACATAAACAATTAAAAATATATAAGGACTATAAAGAAGTTTTTTTTTGTTTGTTTTTATTTTTAAATTGTATTTTTTTTCTTTTCTATTATGCCCTGCCTGGAAACTGCCTTATTTTTTACTGGTTAAAAACCAAATCACTGAACTAGGTAGTGAGAAAGTAATTTAAATTAAAAATTTTTTGAAGGTGCTGTACGCTTCCTATACCCCTGTTTTTGTTACAATATCCATAGTAAACTCCAAAAATCTATTGAAAGAAAATATAGACATGATAACTGAATGATAAACTTTTTAAAAATTTTTCTTTCCTTTTTTTGAGACAAAGTCTCGCTCAGTTGCCCAGGCCGCAATCTCGGCCCACTGCACCCTCCACCTCCCAGGTTCAAGAGATTCTCCTGCCTCAGCATCCCGAGTAGCTGGGATTACAGGCATGGCCACCACTCCCGGGTAATTTTTGTATTTTTCTGTGTAGACAGGGTTTCACCCTGTTTGCCAGGCTGGTCTCGAACTCCTCAGCTCAGGTGATCTGCCCACCTCAGCTTCCCAAAGTGCTGGGATTACAGGCGTGAGCCACTACACCCAGCCAAGTTCTGCTTTTAATAAAAATTTACAGAAGGTATAATTCAATCTCTGTGCCTATTAAGATCAGTAAGAATGACAAGAATACAAAAATCTATACATTTGTATCATGAGAACCAAAATACTTTTCATTAAAGAACATTGAGGATAATCCAAGTATGAAAAGAAAAAACAAGTATTAATAATAAAAAATACTTCGAAACTCCTTTCTGAGCTAATATTTATTAGCTTTTAGGTGATAAAATCTCTTGGATGAGGTGTAATACAAAACCTCCCTTTAGGAAGATTCTTCTCCTCAGTTACAAATTATGAATTTGATCCTTCTGACTAAACAATTAGAGACCTTATTTCAGTTTTATAAATCTTAAAATGTCTTTTAGAGAATGTTTAAAGAAAAGTATTTTTCAAGATAATTTTTCTTTCTAGGCAACAATTGTTTTTAGAGGTTTATTCTTAAAAATCCCACTACAATCTCAATTATTCGAAACTTTTACTCCTCTAAATGGATTTTTTCATCCTCAGTATTAAATTCATCTACCAAGATTTTTTGACATTTTTAAGTGAGAAATATTTTAAGTACATATTTTTCCTTAGTAGAAATAACAAACCATTAAGTTTAATAATTCTATAAGATGGCCTACAGTTAAATTTTTGGCAAAGCTGGACTCTCTCCTAGAATAATTTTTTTTTTACAAAATTTCAACTACAAAGTATAATTTTACCAAAAAACTACATCATATAAGCATATCTCCAACTTGAAACAAAATCCCCTAAAAGCCCAAGACTCTAGGATGCATAAAACTAAAAGGGTTAGGCTAGATAAACCATACGTTTTGAGAACATACAAGCCAACAGAAGGGATCTATGAAGGATAATCACCTTAAGAGAAAAAACTTTGTGCAGATGACACTGGTTCAAATGCATTCCCTTGGGGAAAAAAAATCAACTCTGTAAAGATAGCAGATGGATTTGTTTAAATAGTAATAAAATTAACGAGGGACTTTAATTACCATCACAAATTATAAAGCATGCAACCACACTAAACAAA
Organism: Homo sapiens; assembly: GCF_000001405.40. NCBI lineage: Eukaryota > Metazoa > Chordata > Mammalia > Primates > Hominidae > Homo > Homo sapiens. The sequence continues at coordinate 170,128,509 of NC_000003.12, forward strand.
CAATGGCATTTTTTTTTTTTTGCCCATACAGCATGTTTGTCAGAATACTGACACATGGAAATTTCAAGCTTTTTTAGTTCACAGGCATTTAGATCTTGCAATAAAACATAGTGTGGGAAAAAATAGTTTTTACTTTCAGTTCAGCAAGAAAGTCAAAGAGCTTCCAAGGGCTTACCACTGGTGGATCAACAGGTGCTGGTGGTTGCACTTGTAGGTTTACCGCAACAGTCTGTGGAGGAGGAAGAGTCTGAAATGGCAACTGGACCAAAGCTTCTGCAGCTGGAAGTTCCTCTTCTGACACCAAAGCATTCTGCACCAAAACCTGGCCCTGGGACAGAATTTCAGGCTGCACTTGTAAAGACTGCATAGACTGCAAGGGCAGTGGTGGAATCTGAGCTGGAGGAGATGTCGACATCTGTGGAGGACTTGCAATTGGGATTGGAGAGGACTGCAGGGATGAATATTGCTGGTGTGATGGAGAGACAATCTGCTGGCCTGGGGATACCAAGGCAGACTGCTGAACTGGGCCAATGTGTACAACAGGGGAAGCTGGAAGTGGAAGATGGGATGGAAGATTCAACTGTGCTGTAGCTTGCACCTGATTAGCAGTGGACTGCTGCAAATTTGGCCCTGGCTGGAGAGCTGATGACACAAGAGGGTGTGGCTGAATAAGTGCTTGTGGATGAATAATTATAGTAGGAGACTGACTTGGTGAATGAGGTGGTGGAGGAGACACCACTACAGACTGCTGTGCTGACTGTGACTGATTAGGAGACACTGTTAAAGGAGAGGGATGACTCTGAATCGGTGAACAATGCTGTGACTGGGCATTACTGGGAGCTGGAGGAAGGCCATGGTTCTGGAGTGGTATACAGTGCTGGGATGGGGGTGGGTCTTGAGTTGAATTCTGAAGTGTGATTGGCTGAATTTGCTGTTGCTGCTGTTGTAATATCAGCTGATGATGGGAAACTTTGGAAGGTGGTGAATGAAGAGGAATCTGCTGATGTTTTATTAGAGAATGAGGCTGAATTGGAGAATATGAAGCTGTGAGAGAAAAAAATGACAATTAGTACTGATTTCAAAAATACAGAAATTTTTAAATCACTCTAAAGGAAAAAGTGTTCATTATCAGAAGGTCATAATCATCAGAATTCTATTACAAGTTTTCCAAACAAGAGTAATTTGAAAAAAAAAAAATTTTTTTTTTTGAGACAGAGTCTTGCTCTTGTCACCCAGGCTGGGGTGCAGTGGCATGATCTCAGCTCACTGCAACCTCCACCTCCCTGGTTCAAGCGATTCTCCTGTCTCTGCCTCCGGAGTAGCTGGGATTACAGGTGCCCGCTACCACACCCGGCTAACTTCTGTATTTTTAGTAGAGACGGGGTTTCACCACGTTGGCCAGGCTGGTCTTGAAACCTGACCTGAAGTGATCCTCCCAACTCAGCCTCCCAAAGTGCTGGGATTACTAGCGTGAGCCATCACGCCTGGCCTGAATATTTAATGACAATTTATAGTTGGAAAACTAGAAAATATCATAAAATACACTGTACTGTGATAAGTTCTAAAAGAAAACTGCCTAAAACTTAATAATCTGAATCTATACATGGTTTGTTCTTATTATATTTTATAGGTCACCTGAATATCTACATTAACTTTTAGCAAAGTTTATACACTTGAATTTCTTCTTTGCAGGAAAAGAGGAGTATCATCATAGAACAAGTATAACATATATAAAGATAACTTCAAAATCATAAAAATACTATATTAAAATTCATAAAATAAAGATCTCATCCTTTCTAATCCATATCTAAACGTGCTTCCAACTAATAGGGTAATTACTTATAAAGCTTCCCAAATGAGTTTCCATTTTTGAGCTGAGATGAGGGTATATATATCATTTGACCCAGGAAGAGAAAATATTTTGTATAATAATCTAATGTGATTAAGCAAAAGACGTGTGTGAATCCTGTAGCACAGTTAATTAATCACTGTAACTAAGAACTCAAATTTAGGGGCCATTCCAAATCTAGGAAAACACTAGTTTTGCTTGCAGAGAATGAGACAATCAGAAGCCCATGCTACCTAAATAAGGGATTTTGTTAACCCTTTTCCCTCACCAAAAAAAAACTTCAATAATTGATGTGACAGTATGAGGTTTTCTCCACAAAGAAGCCACTCAACAGGAATAAATATATGTAAGAATTAGCACAGTCAAGTGGTAGGGAGCCCCCCATCATGCCTTTTCTGCAAACTGGTGGCACATGTTTATAGAAAGGGAGATGCTGATGAAATCCTAAGTAAGAATGGAAACTGAGTTCACAAGAAGATAAACTGAAACAATTGCTTAATGTTAATATCATGTAAAAATTACACACATTTAACACAGATTTAAAGACAGGGCAATTTTTTTTTTCCTAACCTTGGAATATTAGGAGAAAGACTATATTATACCTTACATCTATTTTTGTGTTCAACCACATTTGTGACAACTTTATAAAAACTTTCCACAACTTTTTAAAAAAAATTTTCACATTTGGTTATTATTTAAAATTTTTGGAATCCTTTAAAGAAATTAACATCTGATTAACATCCAAAAAAGAGGCGTTTGGAAAGTTCAATAAATATCCACTAATTGTTAAAAAAAAAAAAAAAAAAGGAAATCAAGTCAACAAAATAATTTTCATATAAGTATCTAGGCTAGTACTTCACACTAAGACTGAAAATTTTATGTCAGTCTTTTAAAACTGTGTTGATATAGACTATGCTAAACAGTATTCAAAAAGGGTAAATTAACAAAATCTTGGATTTCTACAGCGTGCCCTTCATCCAAGGGGCTGAAAGTGCTTTCACGTGTCTCTCATTCATACTTACAAAATGCCTGTGGTATAGGTGGGTATTATTATTTCCCTCTTACAGATAAGTAAATAGATTTTTTTGCAAGCATAACAGCAAGGGCCCACTTCAATTCAATTTTGTAAGTAAAGCTTTAATTTAAATTTACCATACTGTTGAAGTACCAGTATGGTACTAGAATAACAATTCTGGCTGGGCGCAATGGCTCATGCCCGTAATCCCAGCATTTTGTGAGGCTGAGGTGGGAGGATCACCTGAGGTAAGGAGTTCAAGACCAGCCTGGCCAACATGGTGAAACCCCATCTCTACTAACAATACAAAAATTAGCCGGGCTTGGTAACACACGCCTGTAATACCAGCTATTACTCAGGAGGCTGAGGTGGGAGAATTGCTTGAACTCGGGAGGCGGAAGTTGCAGTGATCTGGGATCGTGCCATTGCACTCCAGCCTGGGCAACAGAGGGAGACGCCATCTCAAAAAAAAAGAATAACAAATCTTTCTATGCTCTGGTAAGTAAGCAATCTTTTTATATCTTAGAGCTGTGACAATTCAACAGATTAGCAATCTATCCTTTCATCTAAATTACATTTTTCTTTGATCAGAAATCAAAGTGTGTTTATTTTTAGTCCATAAGACCAATTGATAAGCACATATATTACAGAATAATTAGGTGGCTATGTGAAGCAATACCTCTGTAAAAGAAAAGACCTAGTGCTCTGGGAAAAAAAATCCTATCATGTTGGTTAATTTCTCTGATTTTAATAAACATCTTATTGTCAGGATGGCTTTAAATTCAGAGAATTAATGGCTGACATCTCTCACATATATATATAATTCTATTATTTACAGTAACACATATTATTTCACCCAGTAACTACAACAACCCCATGAAGGTGATAGGGTACTATACCAATCCAACATACGACAGATGAAGAAACTGTGAGTAGTTAAGTGACTTGCCCAAAATCATCTGGCTATTAAGGACAGCATTAGGTCTAAAAGAACCTATGATCCTAACTGAGTCTAGGGCCCTGTTATGGACTGAATGTTTGTGGCACAAAATTCGTATGCTGAAGCCCTAACTCCCAATGTGTATTTGTAGATGGGGCCTCTAAGGAAGTAACAAAGGTTAAATGAGGTCATAGGGTGGGGCCCTGACATGACATGGTTTGTGCCCTTTTAAGAAAAGACATCAGAGAGCTTCTGCTCCCTCCACCCACCACACACTCAAGGCCATGTGAGGACATCTGCAAGCCAGGAAGTGAGCCTTCACCAGAAACTGAACACTGCCAGACCTCGATCTTGGGCTTTCCAGCCTCCAGGACTGTGAGAAAATTAATTTCTGCTCTTTAAGCCACAGTCTATGGTATTTTGTTATGGCAGCTGGAGCAGATTGATTAATACAGGACCTTCTCACTACACAATGAATTAATGTCTACAAAAAACAGTATATATTTTTTCCAATTAAGCTAGTTTCATAAAAGCTCTAAAAACTGTGATAGAAAAACTTCAGCTCTAATACAGTTCATGTTTCCAAACATTTAAAGTTTGACCTTATTTTACATATTAAAAATAGAATTTACTATGTATCAAGTGGAAACTCCACCTTCAAAAAGAAATGATAAAGAAAACCAAGTTACTTTGGCACCCTAAAAATACATATAAGAAAACAATAACCATGTATACTATAATAATTAGACTATACTACATTAGAATACAAGTAGATTTTTTTACATTTAAAATGACTTGAAGGAACATTTTTCTAATTGAGGACAAATAATCAATTGAGAATATCTCAAAATATCTTCGCTTCAGATTAACTTTTTTTTTTTTTTTTAGATGGAGTCTCGCTCTTTTGCCAGGCAGGAGTGCAGTGGTGTGATCTCGACTCACTGCAACCTCCGCCTCCCAGGTTCAAGCGATTCTCCTGCCTCAGCCTCCAGAGTAGCTGGAATTACAAGAGCGCGCCACCATGCCTGGCTAATTTTTGTATTTTTAGTAGAGACGGGGTTTCACCATGTTGGCCAGGATGGTCTCGATCTCTTGACCTCATGATCTGCCCGCCTCAGCCTCCCAAAGTGCTGGGATTACAGGCGTGAGCCACCGTGCCAGGCCAAGATTAACTTCTTACCAATAAAAGCAGAAAAACTAAAAAGGTGAAAAATATAGCTATAGCCTTAATAGAAGATATGAATGGCTTTGAATAACTGCAGTGTAAGGCTTAAGAAACTTTTAAGTAGTTCAGGATTTTCTGCGTGGTTTGTTTATAATCAACAACATCAAGGAAAATTGGAGTATATGTAAGATCTGAATTTGGACTTAAAACTGACCTGAGACTCTGGTGGTTTTGGCTTACTGGTTTCCTCCATACTTACACAAGATATTGACCATCAGAGGAATGCAAACTATAAGCATATTATCACACTATTAATGAAAGAGGGGAGAATAAGCTGCAATTCAGAACCAGATATTGAGAGTTAAGGGGGACTGAAAAATCCAAAACTAGATTTCCTTGCTTGAACTAACCCTGAAAGAGTTCCCGGCTTTCTCTGAAAGTAACGTTCTCTTTAGAAAGAAATCAATCTACCTTTCATTATAATTTATCAAAACTGCAGGAATCACTAGAAATTGTCCCTGAGCAGTCATCCTAAGGACCATGGGTCACCATTGCTCCACACTGTCAAAACTAGCCAGACGCTGGTTTGAGGCTGAGAATACTCTGTACAGTAGTGTAAAAACCCAGCTTTTATGCCATACAGAGAGCAGCGCCTAGCACACAGAGGTTTAAAAAAAAAAAATAAGAATTCGTGTCTAACTATACTACGAATATATATATATATATTTTTGAGACGGAGTCTTGCTCTGTCACCCAGGCTGGAGTGCAATGGGGCGATTCCGGCTCACTGTAACCTCCACCTCCCCGGTTCAAGTAATTCTCCTGCCTCAGCCTCCCATGTAGCTGGGACTACAGGTGCCGGCCACTACGCACGGCTAATTTTTGTATTTTTAGTAGAGACGGGGTTTCACCATGTTGGTCAGGCTGGTCTAGAACTCCCGACCTGAGGTGATCTGCCCTCCTCAGCCTCCCAAAGTGCTGGGATTATAGATGTGAGCTACCGCGCCCAGCTTGAATATATTTATTAATTTATACATTATATCAAAGCCTACTTACATAAGATTCAGATTTAACAATTCTAAGTATAGTGATACCTAATTAGTACCAATAAGAAAGACTGCAATAATTCCCAAAATCCAAGTGGGAAAAAAAAATGAACTATTAATCCAACAAATATGTACCTCCTACCTAACATACGTAAGTACGTATAAGATACAACTTAGTGCTGTCAAGATACAAGGATGAAAAGATGAATCCAAAAAGGGATTAAAGAGTTAATGTAAAGTACTAACACAGTGCCTCACACATACATAAATGCCCAATATTATTATCTTACCCTCAAGGAGCTTACTATCTAGCAGACAAGCTAAGATCAGTATATAAGTAACTATAAAGGAAAGAGAACCAGAAGGGACCATAAAAGTTCAGAGGGAGGAGAAATTTCTAACTAGGGTAATCAGACAATGCCACAGTATTGAGATTCAGTGATGTAGAGAATGCTGGCAGTATTAACACAGGAAACTTGAGAAGTGAAATAGGTTTAAGTGGAATATTTTACACTTACACCTAAGTATAAAACAAGTCTTTAAAAAGCAAAGCAGCGTTGTAAAAGGACAGAAAAAAGATGCTTACCCGATGAGGTTGCTGGAACAAAGGAAGTTTTTTGTTTGTTTGTTTGTTTGTTTGTTTTTGAGACAGAGTCTTGCTCTGTCGCCCAGGCTGGAGTGCAGTGGTGCAATCTTGGCTCACTGCAACCTCCGCCTCCTAGGTTCAAGTAACTCTCATACCTCAGCCTCCCAAGTAGCTGGGACTACAGGTGTGCACCACCATGCCCTGCTAATTTTTGTATTTTTAGTAGAGATGGGTTTTCACCATGTTGGCCAGGCTGGTCTCAAACTCCTGACCTCAAGTGATCCACCCACCTCAGCCTCCCAAAGTGCTGGGATTACAGGCGTGAGCCACTGCACCCGCCCAGATTTTTTTTTTTAATGAAACATTTGTAAGGTGTATAGCCCAGTGCAACACACATACACATACACACACACTCAAACAATATATAGTTATAGTGATTTAGAAAACTATGCAGCTACATTAAGAATAAGGGAGACCTAATTATGGTTGAGAAACAAAGGAAAAGGTCTAGCATGAGAAGATAAAAGACGCTGTAACAATTATGTACTAAAGAAGGTCAGGAAATTTAAAAAAAAAAAGGTAGGATCAACAACAGGGGCAAATGGTGCTAAGTTTAAGAATACATGTAACTCTTTATCTTATCAAAAGTAAACAAAATTCAATCCTGAGAAATTCTGAGATGAACAGAAGAGACAGTAAGCTCACTCTGGATGGCCCCCACATTTTCAGTATGAGAACCATGAGGCAAGATTATCTGGATAAAGTAAAGGAAGCAAAGGTAGAATTCAAAGCTTGAGAAGAATGACAGTGACTCAGGTGATTGCCTGAGATGATCCTCTCAGAGATGAAATCAAAGGCAGAAAAAGACAACAACATAAGGAAAATAATTATGCATAATCCTATGTTTCAAAGTGACAAATTTCTCCCACTGATAACAACTTTAAACAAAATAGTATACTGCTTTTTTAAAAGCTTTAAAAATTATCCCACTGAAGTATATTAAATAAACTACAGGCAAATCTTTTTTTAAAGATAGAAGGTTTTATCAATATAAGGAGAGACCAGTGCTTAAAGATGATAATCAAATGTAATTTGATTTTAAAAAACCTATTATATTGTTACAATTTATTTTATCTTTTGGGCTTTTTTGTCTCTTTTCAAGCTACACATTAAGATTAAGTTTATAAAATTCACATTTTAAAATGTTTTAAAGGTGTCACTCCTGTTCAAGTCATGAACATCCTTTGTTTTGCTCTGTCTGCTAAGAAAATGAATAATACAACTATTTTCAACAAAAGTTTTATCCCACCTGGTGCTATTAACTGGTGAATACTTGATGTCCGGGTGACAGCTGTGCTTCGTGATTCCAGGCTTGGGCTCTCTCCTTTCTTATTACTTTCTGGAGAAGGATCTCGTTGGCTGATTTTAGAACTGGTCACTGTTGTTTTGTTATGACAAATTGTCAATGACTGAGTTTGACTAGTGCTTTTTGGTGGACCATTCTGTGAGCTAGATAATACACCCAACTTCTGGCTGCGTAATGTTAAATTCTGAACCTAAGAACCACATAACAGAAAATTAGGATGAAAACAGATGGTTTTAATTGATGTGGTCATCATTACCATTATGACAATACTGACAACACATTTATATTATGCTTTTCATACGTAAAGCTCCAAGCACTTGAAAGAACTGATTAATCCTTAAGGAAAGGAGAGTTATTATTCTAAGTAATCACATCTTAAATATTAAGTGGCAATTTTTTAAAAGACATAAGAGAAAAGAAAAGAGGGAGGGAGAGAAAAAAAAGAAAGGAAGAGAGGGAAGAAGAAAGGGGGAGGGAAGGGGAGGAGAAGGGAAGGATCATAAAGAACTAAATAAAAGCAGTATGTATATATATATACAGACAGTGTGTGTATTATATATGTATGAACTGTGAATATGAGGAAATTACTCTGCAACATACTGCATTTAAAAGTTACCAGTTCTAGCTATAGAGATTAAGGGGACATTAACCTTGTAAGAAAATTAATTCATCAAATCATCTGCCCCATTGTGAAAATTATGAAAAGCATTTTCAAGCAACTCTTTTAATTTAGTAAAATTTTGGTGGTGGTGTTATTGAACATTCACTGCCTTTGAAAACTACATCTCATGAACTGAAAAGACTCTGCATGACCCTGAAATGGCTTTCTATGGTGGCTCCTGCTACACTCAGGGCTATATGAAACATACTGCCAGTCTGGATGGTAGCAAGGATTATCCCAATTAATCTCAGCTGAGATTTATAACCTTTCCAAACAGCAAGATGCAAGACAGAAAAATGCTGCTCCAAAAGTTGCTGAACTTCTTGCCTATCTAGAATGAATGTATCAAATATATGCAGGCTAGCACTGGCCCTGGGAGAGAAACTGAAATAAAAGAGACTCCGAAGTGATCAAGCAAATGATATACTGCTGCTTTATAAAAACATTCTTCAGTTTCATGTGTGTTCCGTCTCTACATCATTAACTGATGCTCAAAAGCTATACCTTCTCCCAGCACTTTGGGAAATCGAGGCAGGCAGATCACCTGAGGTAAGGAATTCAAGACCAGCCTGGCCAACATGGTGAAACTCCATCTCTACTAAAGATACAAAAATTAGCCAGGCGTGGTGGCACGCACCTGTAGCCCCAGCTACTCAGAAGGCTGAGGCAGGAGAATCACTTGAACCCAGGAGGCAAAGGGTGCAGTGAGCCAGATGGCACCACTGCACTCCAGCCTGGGCAACAGAGCGAGACTCTGTCTCCAAAACAAGCTGTCCTTTCTCAGGCTGGGTGTGGTGCCTCGCACCTGTAATCCCAGCATTTTGGGAGGCCGAGGTGGGTGGATCACTTCAGGCCAGGAGTTCCAGCCTCACCAACACGGCAAACCTGTCTCTACTAAAAATACACAAATTAGCCAGGCATGGTGGCGCATGCCTGTAATCCCAGCTACTCGGGAGGCTGAGGCATGAACTGCTTGAGCCTGGGAGGCGGAGGCTGCAGTGAGCCAAGATATTGCGCCATTGCCCACAAGTCTGGGTGACAGAGCAAGACTCTGTCTCAAAAAAACAAATAAATAAATAAATAATTTTTTAAAAAAGCTATACTTCAGGCCAAACTTTTCATCAGTTCTATTCTAAGCTACTCAAAGAATTTTCTAATTGAAACCATATGGAGTGTCTTCTCTGATTTTTCTCAAATATTTCATACCAATGTAAACATAAATGGACTAATAACCACTGCATTATTAAAGTTTAACGCAAAAACAAAATATACTGACTGGGTGTGGTGGCTCACGCCTGTAATCCCATCACTTTGGGAGGCTGAGGCAGGCGGATCACAAGGTCAGGAGTTTGAGAGCAGCCTGGCCTATTTGGTGAAACACCGTCTCTACTAAAAATACAAAAATTAGCCAGATGTGGGGGCAGGTGCCTGTAGTCCCAGCAGCCCAGGAGGCTGAGGCAGGAGAATTGCTTGAAACCCGGAGGCAGAGGTTGCAGTGAGCTGAGATCACACCACTGCACTCCAGCCTGGGCAACAGAGCAAGACTCTGTCTCAAAAAAAAAAAAAAAAAAAAAGATAAGAAAAAGAAATATTAGAATCTAGATTTCTCAGATTGCCACTCAAAGCCCTCCACAACCTAGGCCAAAACCCACTTCAAGCCCCCAGTTTCTAGTCCTCCAGCCTACAGTTCTCATATTCCACCCAAACTGTTCTGCTCACTATTCCCCAAATATACCTTCCACTTCCTTCATTTGGAGCTCTTATTCAAGCACTTCTTGACTAAATGCCATCTTTTCTCAAAGCTGTCTTTTGAAGCCAAACCCATTCTTCCAAGCCCAGTAAAATCCCTCTTTCCCTACTTAAGAAACATTCTGAAAGTCCCTGGTTAGAAAAGAGTTTCTTCCTTCTAGAACAACTTTCCCATAGCATTTGGGTCATTACTGGCCTATAGCACAGATGAATATCTAACTTGTTTTAGAATTACTAAATGTATGTTTGTCTGTGAAATACTGAGACTCGCTAGTAGACTCTCATCTCAACATTCATTTTTATACTCCCTGCAGTTCGGTGCTGCAGACTTAACAGATGAGGTATTCTCCTATATATGATTTTGAAATATATATTACATGGCTAATTTTTTGGTAAGCACTTAGTTCTCTTCATCGTGTTCTTAGGCTAACATTAAAATCTGTTCATGTTTACCAAAAACATCAACAAGTATCTAGAAGAGGCACATTAAAATCTTCCAGGAAGCAAGAGAAAGACAATATAAAATTTAACATTTGACACAAATGATCTATAAAGTAGACTGCATAGTAATGATAACCAAAGGGTAATAATCTGAAAAACCTGAAATGAAAAGTATATTCACAGTAAACAAGGATTTGACACAATGAACCCGAAACCTGCAGCATATCCATTTCTATAGAATAATACTCCTTTTGTTTTTAATTTTCCTTTTCTGGAATTCTGAAGGAAAATGTTTATATACTTACATACACTATGTTGTATATATATTATTTATGTGAACATATATATTTTAGAATATGGTTAAAATATCTATGATCATTTTGACTTAAACATTGACATGGTTTAAATAAATTCCAAACATGAACGCTACACTGCCAAAGTATATTACAAAGTTAATTTAGCTGTTAGTGAAAAGATAACATATACGGATTTCCTTGACAGAGCCTCCCTTTTGAAAGAAAACCCATCCTTTCTAAGAAGAAGAATATTAGGGCACTCTGGTGTCCCACATTCATTTCATCTGAACCTTTCCTTTGATCAAGTTATGAAAACTTTCTGGCTTTTGAAAAAGTCTACATTTTGCCTGAGTTATTTTTGCTAATTTCACATCTCACACTGTTATAGAGGGCTTCCCTGCCAAAATACTCTCACATCAATTATTTAACTGGAATCTAACAAATACTATGGCAATTATCATAGTATCCCTAAGAGTGAGGGTCACATTGCTGACAGTAGAGCTGAGTTTTTAGCTTTTAAATCCAAAGGGTTGTTTTTTTCCTCAATTCTAAGAGTATTCCCCAGATAGCCTTACTGGGGAATACTCTTAGAATTGAGGAAAAAAACAGCCCTTTGGATTTACTGGGTCAGATTTCTTTTTCTTTTTTACTTTTTTTGAGACAGAGTCTCACTCAGGCTAGAGGGCAGTGGTTCAATCTCAGCTCACTGCAACCTCCACCTCCTGGGTTCAAGCAATTCTCCTGCCTCAGCCTCCTGAGTAGCTAGGACTACAGGCTTGTGCCACCATGTCTGGCTAATTTTTCTATTTTTAGTAAAGATGGGGTTTCGCCATGTTGGCCAGGCTCATCTCAAACTTCTGGCCTCAAGTGATCCACCCATCTCAGCCTCCCAAAGTGCTGGGATTACATGCGTGAGCCACTGTGCCAGCCTCTGGGTCAGAGTTCTTACTCATTTCTTTTTCTTTTTTTTTTTTTTTTTTTTTTTTTTTGAGACAGAGGCTTGCCCTGTCACCCACGCCGGACTGTAGTGGTGCGATCTCGGCTCACTGCAACCTCCACATCTCGGGTGCAAGCGATTCTCCTGCCTCAGCCTTGCAAGTTAGCCAGGCTGTTTACAGATACCCACCACCACACCTAGCTAATTTTTGTATTTTTAGTAGAGACGGGATTTCACCATGTTGGCCAGGCTACTCTCAAACTCCTGACCTCAAGTGATCTGCCTGCCTTGGCCTCCCAAAGTGCTGGGATTACAGGCATGAGCCATTATGCCCGGCTCATCTCTTAACACACTCTGCCCTATAACATCTTTCCAAAAATCTTTTTTTATGTGGGTGTGCCTGGTGGGGAGAAGGAATGGAGCATTTAACATAGTAAATAAAAGTGAGATATTCCAAATTTCTCATTTTTACACTATGGTATAAGAATGTTTAATACTAAGGAAAAATTAACTGTTGTACTGACTTCTATAGCTTAAAGAATATTAAAATACAACTTCAGATTTGGTATTTCACAATTAAAATAAAAATTTTAACTGCAAATATAATTCTAAAACTCAACAAAGTTATGCAGAAATTTTCCAAAACAGTCTTGAACTTGACGAAAGTTATCACTGGAATGCATAAGTGTGAGCATCACCTACCAATGCCAGACTCACTCACTGCCATTTCAAAAGCACAGAGAAGAGAAACAATATCCATAGAGAAATTCCTAAAGTTCAATCCATTCCTCTAGCCCCTCAAAAATCTATCTTTGAATTAAGTCCGATCACAGAGGCTCATAATTAGAACACATCAATCTGGACCCCAAAGACCACTTTTATAAATTATTTTGACTCTATTCACATTAAAAATACCTTTAAATATGAAGTAAGATGTTTTCTTCATGAGTACCAGCAAGAAAAATTGTGCTCCTCAGAACATGTTAAAATCAGCTGTGTTTTCCTAAGCAGCTGGTTTGTTTGTTTCACCTTGGAAACTATAAATTCTTTTTTTGTTTTGTTTTGTTTTTGAGACAGGGTCTCACTTTGCTACCCAGTCTGGAATGCAGTGGCTCGATCTTGGCTCACTGCAGCCTCGACCTCCTGGGCTCAAGCAATCCTCCCACCTCAGCCCCCCAGGTAGCTGGGACTACAGGCCCGCACCACCACGCCCTGCAAATTTTTTGTATAGATGGGGTTTTGCCATGTTGACCAGGTTGGTCTCGAACTCCTGAGCTCAAGCAATCCACCAGCCTCTGCCTCCCAAAGAACTAGGATTACAGGTGTGAGCTACCTCGCCCGGCCTGTAAATTCTTTAAGTGGTTGCTTTTCTCCCTTCACTATTAGTTACCTGAAAGCTAAGAACCAACTTTGTGACTTATCTTCAGACAATGCATAACAAAAATAGTAGTTAGCAGCTTGTGATATCTTATGTGGAGGCACTATGTTAAGTACTTTTTGTTTCATTTATTCCTTATAACAATGCTGAGCTGCAAGTAACGGCTCCGAGAATAGAGCTGAGTTGTTTTAAGGAATAAATGAAACAATTCAGTAAATGAAACATTTAGTAAATGCTATCAGACACTTCTATTTTAATTTATTAACATATTTAATCCTCATAGCAACCTTTTGAAATATATTATAAATGTTATTTTATTTTATATAATTGAAACTGAGGTGAGAGGTTAAGGACTTATAATAATAAAATGGTAGAGCAAGTATTTGAACTCAGAGATTCCGGCTCCAAAGTCCGTATTATAAACACTATGCTATACTATGAATTTGACCAAAATCAATCTGCTGGCAAATGTTGTTGCTGAAATCAGAATTTGAATCCAAGTCTTCCTATCCCCGACTTTTGCAAAAAAAAAAAAGTACTATTTACTGAGTGCCTGTAAATGTTTTATACACTAAAGATACATATTACTCATCCTTTTACCCTACAAATATGAATGAATATTAGAGATGTTTGGCAACTTGTCCAAGTCATACAATAAATGACTGAAGTAGGAGCTTAAGTCCACACAGAACTTCATACATGTAAACTGAGCAGCAACTTCACGCCTAGCTCCATGCCACTTTCCTAGTTTTATTTGTGTCTTTTTTCTTACATGGTTCCAACTTACTTTCTGATATTTTACTGTATGCACCTTGTAAATGAATTAAAATCTTAGTTGGAACAAAGCCAAATATAAATGAAAAAATAAAATTTAAAATGTTCTGGAAGTTGATGATGGTCTAGCTCTATTAGGTTTCATAAAACTAAAACAAAAAAAAAGAAGATCATTATTTCAGGCTGGCACAGTGGCTCACACCTGTACTCCCAAAAGTCTGGGAAGCCTAGGTAGGCAGATCACTTGAGCTCAGGGGTTCAGGACCAGCCTGTGCAACATGGCGAAACCCTGCCTCTACAGAAAAAAATACAAAGACTAGCCAGGTGTGGAGGCACACACCTGTAATCCCAGCCACTCAGGAGGCTGAGGTGGGAGGATGGCTTGAGCCCAGGGAGGTCAAGGCTACAATGAGCCATGATTGACCCACTGCACTCCAGCCTGGGTGACAGAGTGAGACCCTATCTCAAAAATTAAATAACTAAATAAATCAATCAATTAATTTAAAAAGATGATCATTACTTCAACATATTCATTCCACAGAGACATAAAAAGTTTAGAGCTGAAAAATCTTAAAGTTAACAGAGATAAAGTTCTCATTTTATAAATACGGGGGAAAAAAAGTCCAATAAAGTTAACTGTAGAGAATGCCAGGGCAAGTTAGAAGAAAGCTGGATTTAACCGACCATCATCTTTATAAATTAATACATGAAAATTAGCCTTTACTTGTAAATGAAATAATATATAGAGGTTTTATCAAAAATACCAAGGAATATTATTACTACCTCATTTTTTATTTTTTACCAGAAGATTGAGAACTATTATATTACAAATAAGAAGCCAAAGATGACCCTAAAATACCCATTTCTGCCATATGCAGTCTAAAATATTCATTATGAAGAATACCAGAATACAGCAATATCATGCAAAGTAACACTCTAACTCAATTGTTTTCATTTAAAATGTACTCACTCTAATTCATTCTTGTCAAATTTATTGAGGTGTAACTTACATACAATAAAACAAAACAATGAGTTTTGACATATCTATATACCATATAATTACTACCCCAACCAATATACAGAACATCACCTTAATCATGGAAGTTCACTCATGCCCCTTCCCAATCAATCTCCTCCTACTTTCTACCCCAGATACCACTAATCTGATTGTTTTTCACTATAGTTTTTCCTGTTCTAGAATTTCATATAATGGAATCATAGAGTATGTATCCCTTATACCAAGAACCTTATACCAAGGTTCTTTTGCTAAACATCATGTTTTTTAAGATTCATCAGTATTTCTGAGCAGTATTCCACTGTAAGAATATATCGAGGCCGGGCGTGGTGGCTCACGCCTGCAATCCCAGCACTTTGGGAGGCTGAGGCGGGCAGATCACCTGAGATTCAAGACCAGCCTGGCTAACATGGTGAAACCCTGTTTCTACTTAAAAAAAAAAAAAAAAAGAAAAAAGAAAAAAAATTAGCCAGGCGTAGTAGTGCGTGCCTGTAATCCCAGCTACTCGGGAGGTTGAGGCAGGAGAATCACTTGAACACAGGAGGTGGAGGTTGCAGTGAGCGGAGACGGTGCCACTGTACTCCAGCTTGGTCAATAAGAGCAAAACTCTGTCTCAAAAAAAAAAAAAAAGTATATATCAAAATTTGTTTATCCACTCAGCAGCTAAAGGACATTTGGTTGTTTCCACTTTGGGGCTATTCTGAGTACCGCTGCTATAAACATTCATTTACATGTCTTTATGTGTTTTCACGTCTCTCAGGGTAAACATAAGGAGTAGAACTGCTGAGTCACACGTTACATGTATGTTTCACTTTAAGAGGAACTGTAAAACTGTTTTTCAACATGTGGCTGTACCATTTTACCCTCTCACCAGCAATGTATGAGAGTCTGGATGCTCCACATTCTCACCAATATATAGTATTAGCAGTCTTCTTCATTTCAGCCATTCTAGTGAGTGTATGGTGATACTCATTGTGGTTTTGATTTGCATTTCTGTAATGATTAATCTCACTGTGTCACCCAGACTGGAAAGCAATGGCACTATCCTAGTTCACTGCAGCCTCAATCTCCCAGGCTCGAGCAATCCTCCTGCCTCAGCCTCCTGAAAAGCTGGAATTACAGCAGCGCAGCACCACACTTAAACAATTTTTTTTATTTTTAGTAAAGACCGGGTCTTACTATTTTGCCCAGGCTGGTCTTTAATGCCTGAGTTCACACAATCCTCCTACCTGGGCCTCCAAAAAGTGCTGGGATTACAGGCATGAGCCACTGCACCTGACCAATTTTTTAAATTTTAAATGTGTCTAGTTTAATTCACTTTCAAACTTAAAATCCATCTTGACTTAGTTATTACATAAGGAATACTGCAAAGGAATCTAAGCAAAAGAATATATCTCACATGAGAAATAAATCTGCTTTATGAGAAAACTAAACATAGAAAGCCATTAACAAAAACTCTCATTAACCTTGACCAACCAATGTCAAATAACCTAAATATCTGTGTTTAATGGTATTATAATTTTTATAGAACAAAAAACATTTTCTTGAAGTTCTCATTGTATTTTATTAAATTTCAATCTGAAATGCATGACAAAGAGCACTGAAACCATCAGTAACTTAAACACAAATGCAATGCTTAACTTTAACCTGAAGATCCAGATCTCAAGTAACACATTATGAAGCTAGACAAGCTCACCTGAGTAGCTGCAGACTGACAGGAAGATGACGATGACGACGAGACAACAGGAATGTCAGACTGTACAGCAGCCACAGTGGTAGCGGGTGTGAAAATCAGCTGTACAGACAGAAAACCAAAAAAATACCCTAAGACAAAAGAACATGTCCCACACACAATGTGTAGCAGGCAAGAGAGACTGAAATTTGTGACAGAAAGACAATGCAGTTTAGGATTATCTCCTCAGCAAAAGGTTCTACATGACAAAGAGAAGTTTCTGATAATAGAGAACTCAAAAAAAATCATAAACATTTTTGAAACAGCTCATGATTCTGATGAGTGCAAAAAAAAGCAGTACTCAAAAAAGAAAATATATTTTGGTGATATGAAATTCTCAGACCAAATTGTGTCTCAAATAAGCTATTATAGTTAAATTTTTCCTAGCTCAGAACTACTGTGGCAGGATTCCTAAAATGGGAAGTAAACAACTAGTCACTATTTTGGGACACAAATTAAATTTCAGTGAGAAACAAAAAGAAACACCAAAAAAGTCTTTTCAGTCCTCTTTATCATAAGGATAACTATGCCACATACTACACTCCAATATTTCACTTAGCTACAAAGGATCTAAAGGACAAATCCAGGTTGCCCTTTCATTTTAAAACTATTTGTAAAGAAATATTCATTCTATGGCCAGGCGTGGTGGCTCATGCCTGTAATCCTAGCACTTTGGAAGGCCAAGGCAGGTGGATCACTGGAGGTCAGGAGTTCAAGACCAGCCTGGCCAACACGGTGAAACCCCATCTCTACTAATAATACAAAAATTAGCCGGGTGTGGTGGCTCATGCCTGTAATCCCAGCTACTCGAGAGGCTGAGGCAGGAGAATCACTTGAACCCAGGAGGTGGAGGTTGCAGTCAGCTGAGATCATGCCACTGAACTCCAGCCTGGATGACAGAGCAAGACTCCATCTCAAAAAAAAAAAAAGAAAAGAAAGAAAGATTCATTCTAAAAGTAAATGCCACACATGTAAAAGTTCAACAACAAAAGAGCCTGCAAAAAAATCTTCACATCAAAAAACAAAGACATTTAATTTTTTTACTTATCACTTTCCTTTTTTTTCCTTTTCTTTTTCTTTTTTTTTTTTTTTTGGTGAGACAGAGTCTCTGTCACCCAGGCTAGAGTGCAGTCATGCGATCTCAGCTCACTGCAACCTCTGCCTCCCGGGTTCAAGCGATTCTCCTGCCTCAGCTTCCCGAGTAGCTGGGATTACAGGCATACGCCACAACGCCCGGCTAATTTTTGTATTATTAGTAGAGACGGGGTTTCACCATGTTGGCCAGGCTGGTCTCGAACTCCTGACCTCAAGTGATCCGCCCACCTCAGCCTCCCAAAGTGCTGGGATTACAGGCGTGAGCCACCGTGCCCAGCTCAATTTTTTTCAATATTCAAACAACTGCCATTAATCTATTTTTTCTTTTTTTTTTTTTTTTTTTTTTGAGACAGAGTTTCACTCTTGTTGCCCAGACTGGAGTGCAATGGCGCGATGTCCGCTCACCACAACCTCTGCCTTCCGAGTTCAAGTGATTCTCCTGCATTAGCCTCCCGAGCAGCTGGGATTACAAGCGTGAGTAATTTTTTGTATTTTTAATAGAGACAGGGTTTCTCCATGTTGGTCAGGCTGGTTTTGAACTCCCAACCTCAGGTGATCCACCTGCCTCGGCCTCCCAAAGTGCTGGGATTACAGGCATGAGCCACCATGCTCAGCCAAATGCCATTAATTTCTAAGGCAATACAATCCACTCAGAGATTAACCAATTCAATTTAGTAAATTTGACAAGTTGTTTCAAAGAATGTGTAAATACTTTATTTCAAAATTGTATCAAGGGTTATTCAGTTCCTCTTGCTATCTAAATTAAAATGTTCAACCAAATGCGGATCCAAAAAAATTAGAAAATTAAACGACCAATTAAGTGACCTTTTAAACTTCAGTTCTTTGGTACACTAAATCTAAGTAAATTCAACAACAAAGTACAATGATGAGCCCTCCATACCTATGGAAGGCTCTGTGCTTCGTCATTCAACTATAGATCAAAACAATATTCATTTAAAAAAAATAGCTGCATCTGCATTGAACATGTACAAATTTTTCTCTTGTTATTATTCCCTAAACAATATAGTATAACAGTTATTTAAATGATGTTTATATTATACTAAATATATGTAAAGACGATGTAAAGTATATGGGAGGATATACATAGGTTATATGCAAATACTATGCCTTGAGCATCCTCAGATTTGGGTATTCTAGGGGACAGAGAGGGTAGGGCCTGGCAACAATCCACCACAGACACCAAGGGACAAATGGTATAACTTTCCTGAAAAGGTAATTTCCAGTACCAACACCCTGAAAGGACTAAACCTAAAAAGAAGATATTCAATTTAGTTTGACCCGTATGAAACTGCTAATTTTAGAGTTCAAAAATAGCCAAATAGCAACCATCTCAAATGGTTCAACCTAATTTTAAAGCATAGTATGAGTTAAATGATTGGAAACTTTGCAATTTTAGATAGAAAACTGAAGATCCAAGCCAGGTGTGGTGGTTCATGTCTGTAATCCCAGCATTCTGGGAGGTGAGGCAGGTGGATCACAAGGTCAGGAGTTTGAGACCAGCCAGGCCAAGATGGTGAAACCCCGTCTCTACTAAAAATACAAAAATTAGCTGGGTGTGGTGGCGGGCACCTGTAATCCCAGCTACTTGGGAGGCTGAGGTGGGAGAATCACTTGAACCCGGGAGGCAGAGGTTGCAGTGAGCAGAGATCGTGCCACTGCACTCTAGCCTGGGTGACAGAGTGAGACTTCACCTCAAAAAACAATAACAACAACAACAACAACAACAACAAAAACTGGAGATCCAGATATATATTCAGTCCACTGGACAAAAAAGAATATAAATATATATTAGGGACAATGCTTTTGTCTAGCTTCTTGTAAAGACATCAAATAAAATACATGTCAACCAATTTCTATATTCCTTAAAGAAGCTCAACAATTAAATTAGAAAATCTGTAGATACTCAAATACAGAATAACCAAATTAACATTCCTATATTCATAAAATATCAAAATGAACACAAGAACACAAATAACCTTGCAGAATTTGAGATGGGAAAAACCAAAGTTAAGAATCATCTGGGAGACTATCCGGAACTCCAATATAGAATTCAGAAAATCCTAGGATACAAATTATAACTTTAACAACAAAGTTTTTTTAACATCTCTATTTCACCAAATCTAAGTTGACAAAAACAGGCAATGATTTTATGGACCACTGTAAGTACCAAGATGCCATCAGTTATAAAATGCATCCAAATTTCACAGATATTAAAATATGAAAAAAAGGTTTTCAATGAATTTGATATTAAAAAATAATCACTCTTACGTTACTGAATCTCTATTAGCTTCTCAATGTAATAATTACTATTTGATACCAAGAAGACCTATTAATTAAAAGTAGAATCTTTCATGACATAAATGTACAAGAGCTGAAGGCACGCCCGCATGCACACACACACAATTAAACATTTCTTAAATATTAAAAATACCTCTTATTGTATCAAATCAAGAAACATTTTGATCTCTCAAGTCCTTAAACACTGAAAAAATTTGGTAGCTCATATCTTACCATTTGAGCTCGGAGATACATTTGAGCTTGGCTTGCCGTTAGGGTAGGGGAAGTACTCCCTAGTAACATAGTCTGTTGGGTAATACTGCCGCTGGTAGAACTGGAAGCCTGGGAACGGCTTATTAACTGTGCAGGTGTAGGAGAAGTGGAGAGGTTGATCTAAGGAAGAAAACATATTAGGTCATAGGCTTCCATTTCTTGCTTCCATGTTACTGAATTTCACACCGAGCTGCAGTTAGGCAATCAATGGTATAAACTGTGGCTAAGGAACCCAAAGGAGAAGCCTTTATCTTTGACAGACCCCCTCATTTCTTTGGGCAGTTATTTGCACATATGCAAACAATGGCATGGATTGGTTAGTAATCAGGGCAATTTTTTTTTTTTTAAGATGGGAGTTTCGCTCTTGTTGCCCAGACTGGAGTGCAAGTGCGCGATTTTGGCTCACTGCAACCTCCGCCTCCTGGGTTCAAGTGATTCTCCTGCCTAAGCCTCCCAAGTAGCTGGGATTACAGGCATACGCCACCACGCCCGGCTAATTTTGTATATTTTTATTAGAGACGGGGTTTCTCCATGTTGGTCAGGCTGGTCTCGAACTCCTGACCTTAGGTTATCCACCCACCTCGGCCTCCCAAAGTGCTAGGATTACAGGCATGAGCCACTGCACCCGGCCACAGTTTTTAAGGATAGCTACAACGTGTTTCAATAAGATTTCTAGTATCTTAAAATATCATTTCCACTACCTCCTAAAAATTAGGGCCAGTGCTCACTTCCGCAGCACATATACTAAAACTGGAACAATACAGAGAAGATTAGCATGGCTCCTGCCCAAAAATGACATTCAAATTCATGAAGCTTTCCATTAGTTTTAATAGGGGATTTTGTATGTTCTCAACACTAAGAAATGATCAATGATTTGAGATGATGGATATGCCAGTTACTCTGATTTGATCACTATACATGATATACATGTATTCAAATATCACCCTGTATCCCATAAATATGTATAGTTATTATGTGTCAGTTAAAAATTAAAAAAGAGCTACTGTTTCATTTTAATATTCCACATAACTTAAAACATCCTAATCAACAGTTTATTCTGTCACATTCTGAGGAGTTTGTGAACAAAAATTAAAACACAGATAATGCATTCACATATATAAAGACATACATGTAACACATAACCAGTGTAAAGCTGTAGTCAAAAGCTCTCAAGCAAAAGAAAATACTACTTCTCAAACAGATGGAAAAATCCTGAATATCAGCTACAAAATTAAATTATAAACACTAAAGTTTAAAACTTCTGTTAAAGAATAAACTAGAGCATTGTTGGCCGGGCGCAGTGGCTCACGCCTGTAATTCCAGCACTTTGGGAGGCCGAGGCGGGCGGATCACAAGGTCAGGAGATCGAGACCATCCTGGCTAACATGGTGAAACCCTGTCTCTACTAAAAAAAAAAAAAAAAAAAAAAATTAAAAAAATTAGCCGGGTGTGGTGGTGGGTGCCTGTAGTCCCAGCTACTCGGGAGGCTGAGGCAGAAGAATGGCGTGAACCTGGGAGGTGGAGCTTGCAGTGAGCCGAGATTGCGCCACTGCACTCCAGCCTGGGCGACAGAGCGACACTCCATCTAAAAAGAGAAAAGAAAAAAAGAAAAAAACCCAATAAACTAGTGCATTGTTAACCTCTAGAAGGATGCGTAAGAAACTGGTAACTGGTTGTATCTATAAAGAGACATTGGAGTGGGGTGGCTAGGGTAATAGGGAAAAGAAAAAGCATACTCTTTTTTTTATCTTTCTAATTTTAGACCACATGTATATATTACCCATTTTAAAAATAAATAATATTTTTGGCCGGGTGAGGTGGCTCCAGCCTATAATCCCAGCACTTTGGGAGGCTGAGGTGGGCGGATCGCAAGGTCAGGAGTTTGAGACCAGCCTGACCAACATGGTGAAATCCCATTTCTACTAAAAATACAAAAATTAGCCAGGTGTGATGGCACGCGCCTGTAATCCCAGCTACTCAGAAGGCTGAGGCAGGAGAATCGCTTGAACCCGGGAGGCGGAGGTTGCAGTGACCCAAGATCACGCCACTACACTCCAGCCTGGGCAACAGAGCGAGACTCTGTCTCAAATACTAGTAATAATAATAATAATATTTTTAAACAGAGAATAATATAATCCAACCTCAAATCATTTTGTGGAACAAAGCACAGAATACAATTAATAAATATTTTATTAGAAAAAAGAATACTTTATTGGACTTCTTATTCAAGCAACAAGGCAGACTGGACTAATACATCCATGTGACCAAACGGTATCACTGAAATGCTAGATCAACATGAAAAAATCAGAATATACAGCAGAACTCCAAAAGGGAGAGAAAAGCTGGGAAAGGAAATTCCTGGTGCCAGAAAGGAAGAAACTCAAAGCCAGAGAGATGTCACCTCAGCTGACACCAAGGCAGTCTATAAGGGTATCTTGGTTCTATAGAGCCAGAAGATCCATCTTTGTGCTTATTTCAGGGGAGGGCTACAAGTCAAATCCCTATTTTGAGCCAAAATCCTGAAAAGAGCTGCCCAATATGTAAGAAGGAGCTGGAAAAGCTCCACCCATACGTTCTGAGAAACAGCAAAGAAGCTTGCATCTGCCCTGCTCCTAGTGGAGGCAGGGAAGGAGGTACCTATGAGAATCAAAACTCCAGGCTTACACCAGGTAGGGGTATAGAATCCACATCCACACTCCCTGTACGGTTCCATAACCCAGCCCAAGACATTAACATCTGAACTAACCCAGGACACTTGTTAAACTGAATGGTGACTGGAGGAAGCTGAGTGAAGTTTATATAGGAGGACCTCTCTGTACTAGTTTTGCAACTTCCTATGATTTATAGGAATTTAATTTATAATTATTTTAAAATAAAAAAGTTTAAAAAACTGTATAGTAGGCACATGACAGTTGGTTATCTAATTCTCTAAATGTATATATATCACATATTTTTATTTTAATATAATAGTTAAATGTATAAATCAATGCATAAATACCACTAATACAATACAGAATTATTCTGTAATTTTGTTTGTTTTTGTTTTGTTTTGTTTTGTTTTTTTGAGACAGAGTCTCGCTCTGTCGCCCAGGCTGGAGTGCAGTGGTGCGACCTCAGCTCACTGCAACCTCCACCTCCTGGGTTCACATCATTCTCCTGCCTCAGCCTCCTGAATAGCTGGGACTACAGGCGCCCACCACCACGCCTGGCTAATTTTTTTTTTTTTTTTTTTTTTGTATTTTTAGTAGAGACAGGGTTTCATGGTGTTAGGCAGGATGGTCTCAATCTCCTGACCTCACGATCCCTCCCCCTCGGCCTTCCAAAGTGCTGGGATTACAGGCGTGAGCCACCGTGCCCAGCCTATTCTGTAATTTAGATCCTATTCCTAACACATCACTGAAATCACCTTAACAATAGTCACCAACATCTAACTGACAAAATCAGTGGAATCTTTTCAGACCATTCCCTCTCAGTCTTCTTTACCAGCTCTTCTTTTGCACCCACTCCCAAAATGTTCATGCTCTGTCTTTGACACTTTTCTTCTTTTTTTTTTTGAGACAGGGTCTCCCTCTGTCACCCAGGCTGGGGTGCAGTGGAGTGATCATGGCTCACTGCAGCCCCAATTTCCTAGACTCAGATGATCCTTCCACCTCAGCCTCCTGAGTAGCTGGGACTACAGGCATGCATCACCACACCCGGCTAATCTTTGTTATTTTTTGTAGAGACAGGGTTTCATCATGTTGCCCAAGCTTGCCTCAAACTCCTGGGCTCAAGCGATACCCCCACCTCAGCCTCCCAAAGTGCTGGGATTACCAGCATGAGCCATCGCACCAGACCACACTTTTCTTCTTGAATTCCTAGATTATCATATCTACTTCCACGGTTTCAAACAATTCAATCCTGATGACTCTTGATTCTTAACTATAAACCCTTTTTTGAAGTTCCAGATCCAAATACCTACAGAACACATCTTTCTGGGTATCCTTTACCAGCTCAAATTCAGCATGTTCAAACAGCAAACTAATTATTCCTTTTAAAACAGCTTCTCCTCAAATGGCACTGGCATTTTCTAAAATTCTCCAAGACACAGTATCTGGAAGTCATCCTGATGCTTCCCTCTCCTTTACCACACACACAAAATCAGTCACGTATCTTGTTTCTAATACATCTTTTTGTCTCCTAATTTCCATTTTGATTTTTCATCACTTAGTTTGAGACTTTGGGCCCATGTCATTTCTGGCTTGATTACTTTAATATCTGCAAACTGATACCTCTTACTGGAATCTTGTCACCTTCTACTTGCCAGATAATCTTTCCCTGATTATTAATATTAATTACCCATTTAAGAATCTTCTGAGGCCGGGCGCGGTGGCTCACGCCTGTAATCCCAGCACTTTGGGAGGCCGAGGCGGGCGGATCACGAGGTCAGGAGATTGAGACCATCCTGGATAACACGGTGAAACCCCATCTCTACTAAAAATACAAAAAAATAGCCAGGCGTGGTGGCGGGTGCCTGTAGTCCCAGCTACTCGGGAGGCTGAGGCAGGAGAATGGCGTGAACCCGGGAAGCGGAGTTTGCAGTGAGCCAAGATCGCGCCACTGCACTCCAGCCTGGGTGACAGAGAGAGACTCCGTCTCAAAAAAAAAAAAAAAAGAATCTTCTGGATAAAGTTAAACCTCTTCCCTGACAACCTCTCTAGCATCATCTCCTCCCCCTCCACACACAACCTTCCCATTACCATAGCAAGGTATGTGTAGTATCATGATCTCAGTCCTCTATGGCACTGGCGATGATATTCCTGACTAGATTGAGCATCCTTGCCACCGCCATGTCCCAGCCCATCTGCAGCTACATAGTGAACAACTTCTCAAAAATCACCTGCTCTAATAAGCTTTTTCAGGCATTCCCATATCCCAAAGCAGAACTGACTATTCCCCCTCTTTGTTGCCTAATTGTTACCGTCCATATACTTTTAGCATATATTTCTATCTCATCCTTCTAAATAATAATTTCTTTAAGGGTGGGGGCCATGTGTTATTCATCTTCATATATCCAGTATCTACGAAAGGTCTTCATTCAATAAGCTTATTAAGTTAATTAATGTCATGTTATTTTAAGGCATATTTCATATTTTAAGGCATATTCATGCAATATTTAAGCTTTGCTCCAGAGATTAAATTACCAACAGGGAAGAACTGGACCCAAGTTTTTCTGACTCATGTATTTTGGCATTCGGGGTACTTTTTTAATATCCTGATAGCTCTCTAGTTCAGGTTACTCTGCAGTAATAATGCCTTAGAACTTTTTTTTCAGTTGGTGATTCTTTCAAAAAACAGTAAGAAAGAAATGTACTCTTAGTAAGGATATTTACACATTCTCTAAAGAAAAATGTAATAAAAGTCTTCTTTAAAAAATGATTGGCTGATAGCTAACAAGCTGGAGAATGCTTTTTAAGGAAGTATAGTACAAAGTACAAACAGAATGCTTTTATTTTTCTTAAAAAAGAAAAGAGGAAGTGAAGACAACTAGCAACGCCCTAACCACCTGTATTCTACTCTAAGTTGTGAGATCAAAGAACAAGTGTTGTGTTTACTTTTAAGTTCCATATAACAAGTAATATTTCAAAAGCAGCTATCTACTAATAACACCCAACTCATGAAGGCCAACAGATCAGTAGCCACCTCTGCAAGAAGTCCATCTCCCTAGCTAGCCTAACTAAAAAACTGTCCTTCCTTTCCACAACTGATAAGGCTCTCCTTTTTCCTGTGTTGCTCTGCTGACCTAAACCAGATGTCTTTACCAGTTTCCATTAATTTCTCTGTCAGTTCCATCCCAACACTCCTAATTCCCTTTCACTGAAGACCCTGACCAATCCTGTCACTTCATATCTCAAGTCACACTCCACAAAGAAACTCACTTACTGAGCCCGATTACTGCAAGCTGTCTCCCCACTGACGCTAATTCTAGGAGTCACCAGAAAGAAACAAGTCTGCCAGAAAAAGCCACTTAACTCCCAACTACCTGTTAATGTCCTCAAAAGGAGTTTCCAACCGATTACTACCCATAGCCAAAGTCCATTTGAGAGTTGCCTCTACCGTTTCACTGATCAGAATCAATCAGGTATACCCTAAATAGAGAAACATTTCACATTAAAAGAATGATGTATCTGTATTCAGTGGCATTAAAAGATTTTTGTGTCCACTGCTGAGTAAAAAGGCAGCAAAACAACATGTAGAGTATCATTCATATAGGTACATACAAATGTCTGTGTGTGTATATGTATCACAAATGTGAAAAACATGTTAAGAAAGATGGCCAGGCATAGTGGCTCATGCCAGTAATCCCAGCACTTTGGGAAGCTGAGACAGGTGGATAGCTTGAGCTCAGGAGTTCGAGACCAGCCTGGTCAACATGGTGAAACCCTGTATCTACCAAAAATACAAAAAATTAGCCAGGCATTGTGGTGCACACCTGTGGTCCCAGCTACTCAGGCGGCTGAGCTGGGAGATCACTTGAGCCTGGGAGGCGGAGGTTGCAGTGAGCCGAGATTGCAGCACTGCACTCCAACCTGGGTGACAGAGCGAGACCCTGTCTCCAAAAAAAAAAGTTAAGAAAAATGACTGCATTGGATATACACACAATAATACATACTCATAACATGATATATGACTAGACTCAATATAGAAACACACACACACCCATGCACCACTACCTGTGAGAACAGTCACCAAAATGTTAAAGGTGTATATATATAATGCCTTCTAGGAGTAAAATCCGGGATTACTTTTTTTAAAGTTTTTAACTTTTCTATGTAGATATTAATTTTAGAATCAGAGAGGAAATGCTATTTTTCTCTTTAATGCTTACCTTAGTATATTAATTTGCTTTTATCATGTTAAAGCAGCTTATAAATAGTATTGCCTCATTATTTAGTGGGAACTGCTATGTGGTATTTCAAGTATCAGTAGAGTAAAATGCTATATAGAAATTTTATTTTTATTTTATTAAGAAAAGAGATGGGGTCTACGTAGTTCAGGCTGGTCTCAAACTTCTGGGCTTAAGTGATTCTCCCATCTTGGCCTCCCAAAGTGCTGGGATTACAGGCATGAGCCACCATATCCGGCCCTATGCAGAATTTTTTTTTTTCTTGAGACAGAGTCTCACTCTGCTGCCCGGACTGGAATGCAGTGGCACAATCTCCGCTCACTGCAACCTCCGCCTCCTGGGTTCAAGTGCTTCTCCTGCCTCAGCCTCCTGAGTATCTGCGACCACAAGCGCCCACTACCATGCATGGCTAATTTTTGTATTCTTAGTAGAGACGAGTTTCGCCATGTTGGCCAGGTCTCGAACTCCTGACCTGAAGTGATCTACCCACCTCGGCCTCCCAAAATGTTGGGATTATAGGTGTGAGCCATCGCACCCGGACTTTTAAGTAGTAATAGCTATCCATGAAGAATTTTCTTTTTAAGAGACTACATGGTTTTTTTTTTGAGATGGAGTCTCACTCTGTCACCCAGGCTGGAGTGCAGTGGCGCCATCTTGGCTCACTGCAAACTCCGCCTCCTGGGTTCAAGTGATTCTCCTGCCTCAGCCTCCTGAGTAGCTGGGATTACAGGGCTTGCTACCATGCCTGGCTAATTTTTGCATTTTTAATAGTAACGGGGTTTCACCATGTTGGTCAGGCTGGTCTTGAACTCCTGACCTCGTGATCCACGCACCTCGGCCTCCCAAAATGCTGGGATTACAGGTGTGAGCCACCGTACCCTGCTGAGACTACGTGTTTTTTAATAAATCAAAGAAATAAAATACCTATCCTATTTATTTTAGAAAAACATTACTTCTACTTTCTGCAATACAAGCTGGTGAAAATAAAACAAACATAAAAAACCTCACAGTCTCCCAATGTTTTCAGATTTTGGCATCCTAGAAAGAAAACTTGCAATGTCAGAACAATTATCATATTGGAAATAATTTAAAATGTCCAGCAACAGCGATGGTTATATAAAATAAAATCCATTCACACAGTGCAACCCCACACAGCAGCTTAAGTGAGATTGATCTCTGTCTGCAAACATAAAAAGATCTCAAGACACACTGTTAAGGGAAAAAAACAAAATGCAGAATACCTGTGTTTACAATGTGTAAAAAAGAGTGCTAAATGCATATATGCACACTTCTCTATGACATATATGTCCATAATACATAGGATAAGATGTGGAGGGGTATGGAACCAACTAAGAAGACAGACGGACTGAAAGGGAAAAGAGGCTTTAGGGAACTTAATACCTTTTTTACTTTTTCTGTACTGTTGGAATATTTTACAAAAATGCAGTAAAGCTGCTTGTGACCATACAAATATTCAGGCTACAGTTTTATCTCACACTAGTATTAGGTTTTGGAAAAGGCTTCTACACCCAATCACTTAAAATTATATTTTAAAGAATCCTTAAAAACAATGAGTTCTGAAGCCTAAAAAAATTCCCTGAATGAGATAATAGAGGATGAGGACACTAGCAGTAGAACACTGAGAATGACTGATTATAAGCAAATGATTTTCTCTCAGGTAAATTTACATCCCCTATATAGTATAAATATATCAAATGGACTCTGATATGTGGCTGATGTGATTTGGACATTTTTGAGAAAACTGAACAGTTTTAAGGTTCTTGATCTAAAAACAATCTCACTGACCCACTGAATATACTCTCAGGAAATTTTTAAGAAGAAAATAATAACTAAAAATATATACAAATATATATAATAAAATAGTCAATGCAGGTTTACTTATATTAGCAAAAAGACAGAAAAATTAAAACCACCAGCAAGAGAAAAGTAGTTTTTAAAAATGGTAGAACATTATATACTCATTAAAAATCATATTTACAACCAATAAATAAAGAAGACAATAAAGAAACAAACCATTTGCTTATCCCTCCTACTAAACCCCACTGAAATAGCAATTAATACAGTAAAAAAGGATTGAGAAAACAATCACACAAATCTAGACTATTGGAAATTCCATAAGGTAAGCTGACCTGAGCTCTTCAAACGTCATGAAAGAAAAAAAATGAAGTCTATTTTTATATTAAAAAGAAAAAAGAGTCTTCAATGCAGTATGTGATCCTTAATTAAATATTCAATGTGATCCTTAATTAAATACTCAATGCGGGCCAGGCATGGTGAGCCAAGATTGTGCCACTGCACTCCAGCCTGGGTGACAGAGACTCCATCTCAACAAAAAATCGAGGCAGGCGAATCACGAGGTCAGAAGTTCGAAACCAGCCTGCCAACATGGTGAAACCCCATCTCCACTAAAAATACAAAAAATTAGCTGGACATAGTGGCAGGCACCTGTAATCCCAGCTACTTGGGAGGCTGAGGCAGGAGAAATCGCTTGAACCTGGCTGGCAGAGGTTGCAGTGAGCCAAGACCACACCACTGCACTCAAGCCTAGGCCACAGAGTGAGACTCCATCTCAAAAAAGAAAAATTTCAAAAAAAGAAAAAAAAAAACCTGATAGGCCAGGCACAGTGGCTCACACCTGTAACCCCAGCACTCTGGGAGGCCAAAGCAGGTGGATCACTTGAGCTCAGGAGTTCGAGACCAGCCTGGGCAACATGGCAAGACTTTGACACTACAGAAAATACAAAAATTAGTC
The DNA here is from genome assembly GCF_000001405.40 of Homo sapiens. Lineage (NCBI taxonomy): Eukaryota > Metazoa > Chordata > Mammalia > Primates > Hominidae > Homo > Homo sapiens. Next base: position 170,158,784 of record NC_000003.12, read on the forward strand.
AGGTGTGGTGGCACACGACTATAATCTCAGCTACTTGAAGGGCTGAGCAGGGAGGATCACTTGAGCCTGGGAGGTGGCAGTTGCAATAAGCCATATTAGCACCACTGCACTCCAGCATGGACAACAAAGTGAGAACCTGTCTTGAAAAAAAAAAAAAAAGTGAAAATAAAAGTAAAATAAAATCTGGGCCGGGCGTGGTGGCTCACACCTGTAATCCCAGCACTTTGGGAGGCCAAGGCGGGCAGATCACAAGGTCAGGAGATCGAGACCATCCTGGCTAACATGGTGAAACCGCGTATCCACTAAAAATACAAAAAATTAGCAGGGCGTGGTGGCAGGCGCCTGCAGTCCCAGCTATTCAGGAGGCTGAGGCAGGAGAACGGGCGTGAACCTGGGAGGCGGAGCTTGCAGTGAGCCGAGATCACGCCACTGCACTCCAGCCTGGAAGACAGAGCGAGACTCGGTCTCAAAAAAAAAAAAAAAAAAAAAAATCTGATAAATAGCATAACAGAGATCCAAAGTATTTTATCCATAATAGAAAAACGGAATATTAGTTTGAAAGAACAATGAGAAAACAAGAAAATGCTCTGAGAAATTATAAATAGTGGCTGAACTAAAAATTTTTTAAAAGTCAAAGAAAGGGCTAAAAGAAAAAGTTAAGGAAATATCCCACACACAAAAAAAGGCAGTAAGTGAAAAGGTAAACAAGATAAAGGATCAATCCAGAAAGGTCAACATTCAACCAAGAGCTCCAGAAAGAGAAAACAGAAAATTAATTTCTCGTGGATTTGTTCAGTTTCACATATATGATCATTAAAGAACAAAATTAACTTCTTGCAGATTTGTTTAGTTTCACATACATGATCATTAAAAACCTAGTTTCACACTAAGAGGGCCCAACAGGTGTCCTACACAATGACATCTAGACACATTGCCATGAAACTACAAAATAAAAAACTAAAGCAAACAGGCATATCTCAAAGATTCTGGAAAGAAAAAACAGGCAGTTACCCCAGAAGAATGATAATGGAACTAACAACAGCCTTTTCTTCAGCAATACTAAAATTTTGAAAAAAGTAATCTTTGCTTTCAAATTTCCTCAGAAAAAATATTTTCAATACAGAATTCATGTAAAGATAATTATAAAAAGAGGTAATTTTCAAGCCCACAAAGATTTAGTTTTTCTTCCACATAGCCTTTAAAAGAAAGTTATAAGATACTCCAGCAAAACAAAATTCTTATCATACTGTCCTTTGACTATTTACTTGTCTGTATCCTCATTATACTCTAAAACCTTTGTTCACTTTCAATCCTTGGCACCTGACACCAAGTAGGCACTCAATAAAAAAGTACTGGCATAGACTGTCCTCAGGAATGTGGAAGACTAACATAGAATCCCACATAGTAATGAATCCCTAAATCTAACCTCTGCTGTCTCAGGATCATGATCTCACGGTGAGACCTCTTGTCTGCAAACTCTACCTGTTTTAAAAGTTTAGCGTTCCTCAGCTACTATAATACAATCCTCAAAGATCTCTCTTCTGTTAACTCCTATGACATTTACCACTTGATTAGTACTATTATATTATTTACTGTTTGATATATCTAAGCATAGTTCTTCAAATGCATACTCCCTGAGGGAAGAAACTTTGACTTACATGTACCACCAGAGCAAGCAGCACAATGTTGGACAATACACATATTTGCTATAATGGGCAACCAAAGAATCTCATCACTGGGGTCAGGATTAGAAACTCTACTATAACTCAATCTCAGGCAATTAGAATATATCCTAAAATAATTCTCTGCATTGCAATAATCAAGAATTAACATTAGGTCGGGCATGGTGGCTCACGCCTGTAATCCTAGCACTTTGGGAGGCCAAAACAGGCAGATCACCTGAGGTCAGGAGTTTGAGACCAGCCTGGGCAACATAGTGAAACCCTGTCTCTACTGAAAACATACAAAAAAAATTAGCTGGGTGTGGTGGTGGGTAACCTGTAATCCCAGTTACTCAGGAGGCTGAGGGAGGAGAATCGCTTCAACCTGGGAAGCAGAGGTTCTAGTGAGCCAAGATCGTGCCACTGCACTACAGCCTGGGTGACAGAGGGAGACTCAGTCTCAAAAAAACAAAAAAAGAGTTAACATTAATAGTGTTACAGTTCTTTTAGAATTTATCTAGCAGGCTTTCTGCTTTTTGCTGGGAAGCCCATAAAAAACAAACATACAAAAAGAGCATTAATATCATTACATATTCTAGTTGATACTTACTACCTACCATACATCTTTCAACAAGTATTTTTTAAGTACCTACTATGTGATGGGCACATGTATTTTTATAACACATACAAACTATTTAAGAAACTCTCACATAATCCTAGATTAACATCTAAACCACTAGTTCTCAAACTTTTTTCTTATTAATAAACACAGTCTTATTCAGAACTTGAGATTCAAACAGATCACAGAACTGCTCTGGCTGGCTAAGGCTTACATAAGATAAGGCCCATAGTCCAATCTGTCAGTCTATGGAGGCTGCCATAATAAAATACCACACACTGGGTCACTTAAACCAGTGGTCCCCAAACTTTCTGGCACCAGGGATCGGTTTCATGGAAGACAATTTTTCCACAGAGAAGGTGGGGAAAATGGGTTTTGGGATGAAACTGTTCCATCTCAGATCATCAGGCATTAGATTCTCAAACCTAGATCCCTCCCATGTGCAGTTCAAAATAGGGTTCACGCTCCTATGAGAATCTAATGCTGCCACTGATCTGACAGGAGGCAGAGCTCAGGCGATAATGCTTGCTCACTCACCACTCTCCTCCTGCTGTGAGGCCCAGTTCCTAACAGGCCACAAAGCAGTACCGTTCCATGGCCTGACCCCTGACTTAAACAACAGAAATTTATTTTGCACACTTTTAGAGGCTGGGAAGTCCAAAATTAAAGTGCCCACAGATTCAGTTTCTGGTGTGGGCTCTCCTCCTGGCTTGTGGACTGCCACCTTCTCACTGTGTCCTCACGTAGCAGAGAAATTGCCAGTGTCTCTTCTTCGAATCAGTTCTATCAGATCAGGGCTCCACTCTTATGACTTCCTTTAACTTCTATCACATCCCTAAAGGTCCTATCTCTAATACAGTCACATCAGTTAGGCTTCAACATATGAATATGGGGGACATAATTCAGTCCATAGCATCATTTCCTGAACTTTCTCTTTGATACAGATCCAAGGATATCTGGATGAAAAGACTAAAATCATTTAATTAGATAATTTAATTTTACAGAAAATTGGCAGGCAGGGAAGTTAAATGACTTGCCATAAGTCACATTAACAGTCAGTCACAGAATTTAAGATTAGAACCCCAGTCCCTCATCTCTTCCATTCTACTCAACTTTCTCTCATCACACCATGAACAGTAGTGAAGTCATCAAGTACTCTTGTGACATGAATGTTGAAGGAGCCACATGAGACATCATTAATCATGAAACCTCCCACATGAACTCCAAACTCATATAACCAATGCCTACTCAATACTATAGGTGGGTGTCTAATACACATCATCAACTTAACATGTCCAAAATCAAACTCCTAATTTTCTTCTCCAATACCTCCTTTAGCTCCCAATTTTTCCAGATGCTTGAGCCAAAATACTATGGAGTCATCCTTGACTCCTCACATCTTTTATTCAGTGCATCCGCATATCTTGTGTTAGCTCTCCTTTCAAAACATATCCAAATTTCTATAATTAAAGGTTAAAAAAAATTTACAATCTAGCTAACTACTTTTCTCCACCTCTAATATCACCATCATGATCCAAATTGCCAATATCTCTCCATTTGAATTATTACAAGAACATTTAACTCCATGCTTCTGTCTTTGACCCCTAGAACCTACTCTCAAAAACCAATTTGAGATCATGTCACTTCCATACCAGAACAGCTCTCCAACAGCTTCCCAACTCATACTTACTAAAACCCAAAGGTCTTATAATTTCCTCATGATTAGGATTACAATTACCTCTCTGATGTCATCTTTAAACCACACTCCCACTCTCACATTCCACTCCAGCCACACTGTCCTCCTTTCTGTTCCCTGTGCATGTCTGCCCTCCTCACCATTCTTAAAAAGGCCACCTTTATTAACAAGGCTTTCCCTGACCATCCTAATTAAAATGGCATATTCCCCCATTGCTTTATTTTTCTCCTTTTTTATTTCCTTGCTTTATTTTTCTCTTTCACTTACCATCATCTGACATACTACGTACTTGTTTAATGTTCGTCTATCCCTAGCTCCATGAGGAAAGAGATTTGTTTGTTGTGGTACTGTATCCTCAGCACCTAGAAGAGGATTTGGCGAATATTAAACGCTCGATAAATATTTGATGACTGAATGAGTGAATGCATGAATGAACAAAGTCATAAAACTGGGCTTCAAAAGCTCATCTTGTCTAGCATCATAACTAGAAAGTCATAAAAAAAAAAAAGTTTTTTCCCTTTCTGACAGAATAGTACAGTGAGTCGAAGCCAAAATATCAGGGATTCATGTAGTTATGGGCCAAAATGCAACAAGGAAAGAGAATGACATATACATAGCCCTTAAGTCACTCAGAGACTTATGATTGTAGTTTTCAGCCACATAATCCTTTCCATCTGAAAATTCCCAAATATTTAGTAAAGAGTGTGTGTGTGTGTGTGTGTGTGTGTGTGTGTGTGTGTGTGTGATGGCACTGTCCTCACATGAAAACAAACAAAATTAACTAAAAGCCCATTTACATTTACGTATAGAAATGCATAGTCCGCCGGGCACGGTGGCTCACACCTGTAATCCCAGAACTTCAGGAGGCCGAAGCAGGCTGATCACCTGAGGTCAGGAGTTCAAGACCAGCCTGGCCAACATGGTGAAACCCCATCTCTACTAAAAATACAAAAATTAGCCAGGCATGGTGGTGGGCGCCTGTAATCCCAGCTATTCGGGAGGCTGACGCACGAGAATCTCTTGAATCTGGGAGGTGGAGGTTGCAGTGAGCTGAGATCATGCCACTGCACTCCAGCCTGGGCAACAGTGCAAGACTCTGTCCAAAAAAAAAAAAAAAAAAAAAAAGGCAGGCAGGCATAGTAATAATATAGGAAAGCAGGCCAGGCACAGTGGCTCACGCCTATAATCTCAGCATTTTGGGAGGCCAAGGCAGGAGGACTGCTTGAGGCCAGGAGTTCAAGAACAGCCTGAGCAAGACAGCGAGACCCCTTCTCTATAAAAAAACAAACAAAAATAGCTGGGTGTGGAGGCATGCACCCATAGTCCCAACTACTCAGTAGGCTGAGGCAGGAGAATTGCTTGAGAATTTGAAGCTGCAGTGAGCTATGATCATGCCACTGCCCTCCGGCCTGGCCAACAGAGTGAGATAGTATCTCCTAACAAAAACAAACAAACAAACAAAAAAATACAGGAGAGCTTTAAACAAAACTTTGTGAGAGAAAATGGGACTACTGAAGGGAAGTAGTCACTTTTACTCTATATATTTGTGTTATCTATTCCTTAGGCAACAACAGTTTGTTCAATTTTATTTAGACAATATAAAAATTAACAAAATAAAGCTCTTCAACCTCCTTCCTCAGAGATGACCACTAATAACAGTTTGTTGTGTACCATTACAGATCTTCTGCTTGCGTAATCAAATGGATACACGCAAATAACTTTTAAAAAATAAGTAAAATGACAAGAATTCTGCTTCCAAAAAAATGGAGTAGACATACTTGTCCCTATTCCTCCTGCCAAGAACAACTAAAAACTCTTATGTTACATATAAAATAAACCTCAGAAGACCCCAAAAGGTAAAGGAAAAAATACATAGACTGGCTAGAGACCTCAGGACCAAGAAAACAACATGGTAATGAATTCTCTGGATTTTCATTTTGCCTCTTATAACCCACACTTGGAGGGTGGAAATGAAGAAGTCAGTAATCCAGAAACACCACAGGCACAAACAAAAATCCCCAACAAAAGCCTGCTCTTTTTAACCAAAGGACCAGGAAGGGCACAGCCGTGCAACACAGAAAACTTTTAGACAATAATTACTCTACTCCAACCAAACACTACAGAAAAAAACTGTGGCCCCACCCATGTCTGCAAAGAACTTGATTTTCCAACTCCCTCAACCCCTCCAACAGGTTCATGTCAGAGAAGGCCATATAGAGAACAGGACTTTCATACTAGCCAGGTGATAATAAACCACCACCAGCACCCCAATGCACCCTGCGGTCTCAGTGGAGACCATGTGGGGAGAGTAAAAGGTACTCCTATTCCTTCTAGATAGAGAGGCTTCAGTAGCAGCCTAGTGAGGAGCCAGAACTCCCACCCCAGCTTAGCAATTAAGAGGAACATCCTTCAAGTGTCAATGGAGGCTAAATGGGGAACCTGCACTTGTACCCCCTGTACTTCATGCCATATGGGGACTCATACTTGCACCCTCATATTGCATTAAGGCAGCACACTCTCCCTTTGAGAAACAGCCAAAATAAAAAGGTCAAATAAGATCACCAGTCACACAACATAATACTAAAAACATCCAAGTTTCAATAAAAAATCACTCATCACGTCCAGAACCAGGAAAACCTCAAAATGAACGAAAAGGACAACCAATAGAAGCCAATACCCAGATAACAAAGATATCAGAATTATATGATGAAGGCTGGGCACAGTGGCTCATGCTTGTAATCCCAGCACTTTGGGAGGCTGAGGCAGGTGGATCACCTGAGGTCAGGAGTTCAAGACTGGCCTGGCCAAAATGGGAGAAACCCCGTCTCTACTAAAAATACAAAAATTAGCCGGGCATGGTGGTAAACGCCTGTAATTCCAGCTACTTGGGAGGGTGAGGCATGAGAACTGCTTGAACCCAGGAGGTGGAAGTTGCAGTGAGCCAAGATCATGCCACTGTACTCCAGCCTGGGTGACAGAGCAAGACCTTGTCTCAAAAAAAAAAAAAAAAAAAAAAAAAGAATTATATGACAAAGCAGCCATCATAAAAATGCTTCAAAGAAGTCAGGCCCAGTAGCATGCACCTATAGTTCCAGCTACTTAGGAAGCCAAGACAGGAGGATCACTTGAGCCCAAGTGTTGGAGGCCGGCCTGGACAACACAGTGAGACCCATCTCTTAAAATGGTTCAAATAAGCAACAATGAGCATACCTAAAAGAAATTAAAAAAAAAAAAAAAGGCTCCCCAAAGAAACAGAATATATAAAGAACCACCAAATAATAATTTTATTTATTTTTATTTTTTGAGATGGAGTCTTGCTCTACCGCCCAGGATGGAGTGCAGTGGTGTGATCTCGGCTCATTGCAACCTCCGCCTCCTGGGTTCAAGTGATTCTCCTGCCTCAGCTTCCCAAGTAGCTGGAATTATAGGCACGTACCACCATGGAAGGCTTATTTTTGATTTTTAATAGAGATGGGGTTTCACCATGTTGGCCAGGCTGGTCTCAAACTCCTGACCTCAAGTGATCTACCTACCTCAGCCTCCCAAAATGCTGGGATTACAGGCGTGAGCCACTGCGCCTGGCCCCAAATAATAATTTTAGACTGCAAATAGAATAACCAAAATAAATAAGTTAAACAAGCTTACACAATGCATTCTTGCTTCTTACACTCAATACATAATGAAAATCCAAGTCTCTCTGTAGACACATATACAGCATTTTTTAGTAGCTATAATATTCCACTGTAGGAATTAACTATCATTTTTTTAACTAATCCTCAATTAATGGGCATTTATATTATTTATAATTTTTCACTATTATACATCCTGCATATGGGCATAATTATCTAGGTCATTTTTAATTATGTCCCTAAAAGTGACAGTGCTATATGAAAGGGTACGCACAGATTATTTTGGCTTTTTTTGAAACAGGGCCTCATACTGTTGCCCAGGCTAGAGTACAGTGGCATAATTATAGCTCACTGTAGCCTCAAACTCCTAGGCTCAAGCAATTCTCCTGCCTCAGCCTCTTGAGCAGCTGGGACTGCAGGCACACACCACCACACCTGGCTAATTTCTTTTTATTAGATGGGGTCTACGTTGCCCAGGCTGGTCTCAAACTGCTAGACTCAAGTGATCCCCCCACCTTAGCCTCCCAAAGCACTAGGATTACAAGCATGAGCCACCATTCTCAGCAGGGGCATGTACGTTTTAAAGTTTAACACACACTGCCAAATAACCCTCCAAAAGAGTTGCACCAATCTATATTACCACTAATAGTGTATGAGTATACCTACTTTTTCACATTCTTGCCAACAACAGGTATTGTGTAAACGTTTTTCCTTGTTTTCTACTTTAACAGATGACAACAGTACTTCATTGTTATTTGTGCATATATTTCTATTTTTTTAGACAGGGTTTTGCTCTGTCACCCAGGCTGGAGTGCAATGGTATGATCTCAGCTCACGGCAGCCTTGACCTCCTGGGCTCAAGCAAGCCTCCCACCTCAGCCTCCTAAGTAGCTGGAACTACAGGCGCTTGCCACCACATCCAGCTAATTTTTTGTTGTTGTATTTTGCTTGTAGAGATGGGGTTTCATTCGCATGCCTTGGGCTCCCAAAGTGTTGGGATTATAGGCATGAGCCAACATGCCCAGCCTTTTACATACATTTATTATTGATATGTTAAATATATTTTCATGTGTTTAAAAGTCAAAACATAGCCAGGCGCAGTAGTTCACACTTGTAATCCCAGCACTTTGGGAGGCCAAGGCGGGCAGATCACTTCAGGTCAGGAGTTCGAGACCAGCCTGGCCAACATGGCAAAACCCCATCTCTGCTTAAAATACAAAAATTAGCCGGGCATGGTGGCGTATGCCTGTAGTCCCAGCTGCCTGGGAGGCTGAGGCAGGAGAATCGCTTGAACCCAAGAGGTGGAGGTTGCAATGAGCCAAGATCACACCACTGCACTCCAGCCTGGGCGACAGAGCAAGGCTTCATCTCAAAAAAAAAAAAAAAAGTCTTTCTTTTAAAAATTACCAACTGAGAACTTCTGTGAATTCTCACTGTTTATCTTACTAATATGAGTCTTCAGTATGTTAGAAATATTATCAGCCAGGTGTAGTGGCTCATGCCTATACCACATAATCCCAGCACTTTGTGACCTGTGGTTGGAGGATCACTTGAGCTCAGGAGTTCGAGACCAGTCTGCCTGGGGAACACAGCGAGACCTCAACTCTAATAAAAATTTTAAAAATGAGCCAGGCATAGTGGTGTGCGCCTGTAGTCCCAGCTACTCAGCAGTCTGAGGTAGGAGGATCACTTGAGCCTGGGAGATTGAGGCGGTAGTGAGTTATGATCGTGCCACTGCACTCCAGCCTCAGAGGAAGACTCTGTCAAAGGAAAGGAAAGGGAATGGAAAGGCAAAGTCAAAGGGAAAGGGAAAGGAAGGCTAAAATTCTCCCTGTCTTCCCTTTTGAAAAAAAAATTAAAGTAAAAAAGGAAAAGAAATATTACCCATTTATGCAAACATATTTTCTCCCATTTTGCTGTTTTCACTTTGCTTATGCCGTTTTTTGGCAGAAGTAGAATTTTTAGTTGGTTTAACTTCCATTTTAAAATTTAACTAGATCTTTGCTCCATTTAAGTTGAAATACTAAAGACATAAACCTAAAGGCTCAGTCCGAATTAGTTTTAGAGCCAAACAATCATAAAATCACCACTCCACGGCCGGGCACGGTGGCTCACGCCTGTAATCCCAGCACTTTGGGAGGCCGAGGCAGGTGGATCACAAGGTCAAGAGATTGAGACCATCATGGCTAAGACGGTGAAATCCCATCTCTAAAAAATTAGCAGGGTGCGGTGGCGGGCGCCTGTAGTCCCAGCTACTCAGGAGGCTGATGCAGGAGAATGGCGTGAACTCGGGAGGCGGAGCTTGCGGTGAGCCGAGATCACGCCACTGCACTCCAGCCTGGGAGACAGAGCGAGACTCCGTCTCAAAAAAAAAAAAAAAAAAAAAATCACCACTCCACTACTGACAATAGTGTAGAATTAGTCATGATTCTAATTAGAGAAAAGAAAAGAATGCAGGTACCCACTCGTTACCTATACATTCAATTAACAAGTCTACTCTCCAAACCACATATAGATGGAGTATCTGTTATATGAAATCCTTGCGACCAGAAGTGTTTCGGATTTTTTTTTTTTTTTCAGATTTTGGAAAGATACAAACTGGTTTAGCATGCCAAATCTAAAAATCCAAAATCCAAAATGTTCCAATGAACACTCCTCCTTTGAATGTCATGTTGGTGTGCAAAAATTTCAGATTTTAGAGCATTTCGGGTTTTCATATTAGGAATAATCAATCAGTAGGTACACAGTTCCCCCAGGTGGTATGACTGGACTTTGGACTTGATTTTTAAAATAATATTCCATTTCCCCATTGGGATCCCACTCCTACTCTAAGCCCCAACTACCTAGCTGGTTACCTGACAGCTGTTTTTTCTTCTGGAGAATGGACCCTTTCCCACGGCTTCACTGTTATCTGGAAACCTAACTCAAAATAATCAAAACTCTGAAAACTACTAGTCTGTTACCTGATGGCTCATTATCATCACTACTTAAGAGATCTGTTACCATGCTCCCCCCCGTTTTTGGATATTGACCTAAATTTACTAAGTTACCTTGGGCATTGTAATTTTTACTGCTAGTCAAATTACTTGAGCAGAAGCTCACAACGGATAGTAAATAAAGCAAATGTAATGTATTATTCCTTTATTTTACTGGGAATCTGTTCTTCCTACTTACTTATCTTCCCCCACCAGCCATTTACAGCTTTTGGCATACTTCATGGTATAATGCTGCTGGTTTATGACAAGTAACATTAACAATGTCATATATATAAGCACAATCACTAGAATTCTAACTTCTGTGAATGTCACATACATAAAGCCATAATGAAAGACAGTTTAAAAAGATACCTTTTAATAACATGAAGGAAAAAAATTCAAAATAACATATCTATACAAATACATCCTATTGTTATTCCAGTATTTCACAGAATAAAGAATTTGTCTATATAATTTCCTTCAGTAGCCCACAAAATATTTACCACTCCTTTCCTTAATTACCATTGTATTAAAGACATCTGATGTCAATGACAAAAACTCCAGTATTAATGCTTAAGAGCTAGGTTACATTATTTAAGTTTTTCATTTAATCTAACATCTTCAAGTCATAGGGAACTTTTTAAACTAATCTTGTTCACACTCCAGGACATTCCCACGCCAAAAAAAAAAAGTCAGATCAACAGCCAGAAAAAAAAACCAAACAACAAAAAAAACCACAGCTATATGCTGACCACAGCATGTAGTTAGCAAAGACCATACCCTTAGCTGAAGAAATAGAGCACAATTCCTTAACCTTCAATTCCTTAACAACCTACAAACTATATTGTATTGGAGCCAATTTTATGAAGTATCAAAGTATTACCATTCTGGACCAGGAAAAAATATCTAGAAAGGACATTATTAGGTTCTCAACTACAGGCAGTTTGCCCCCCACCAGGAAACACCTATAGTTGTCACACTAGAGGAAGGAGAAAGACCACAAGCTGCCGGCATCTAGTAGCCAGGGATGCTGCTAAACATCCTATAAATTACACGATAGCCCCTGACAACAAAGAATTATCTGGCTCATAATGTCCATAGTGATGAGGTTGGGAAACCTGAGACAAATGATGAAATGTGAAAATGAACTGCACTGTATCAATGTTATATTTCCTGAATTTAGTAATTTTTCTGTGGCTTCAAAAAACAATAGCCTTGTTCTTAGGAAATACACATCAAAGTATTTAGGAATAAAGGAACATATCTCAACTTACAAATGACTCAGAAAAAAATATGTATACATGTAGTGGAAAAGAATGAATGATAAAGTAATGGGGCAATATGCAATAATTGATTAATCTGAGTAGAGTAGATACAGAAATTTTTTTATTATTATTGCAGTTTAAAATTATACCAAAATTAAAAGCTAAACAAGTATTACCATGCCCATAAATTTATTTTACCTGGGAAACTTGGCACAATTTCCCAATATATATGTGCAATATAGCGAATCAGCTTTCTTTTACTCCTTTCTCAAAATAAATTACCCTATCTTGAATGGATACTTGCAAATTGAACCCAAATAACTCATGTAAGCTGAAAGTATAATTTCTAAAATGTGAATTGCACAAAGTTAGAAATGCTTAGATGTCTACCAAGGACATGACATACTATTGTATATCACAGTAAATTCATGGCCAATATCCCTGCATTGTATATTTTAGGCTTTCAATACACACAGAAAGCTGAAACCACATAAGATCTGAACATGATCAGTGCAAATGGATATACAAGAAATAATACAAAAAGATTTTTTTAAGACTCAGATTTTCATAAGTTTAACATTAGTTCTGAATTCTTGAATTTTATCATTTCTATTTCTGGGCAATTGTTACTTTAAACAGCATGCAACAAATTATAATAACAGCTTCATAAATAACAACAGTTTACTTTTGGAAAACAATTCTTTAAAATTTTAAATCCAGGAAAAAAAAATTTAGGGAACTTACAGACGTTTGGGACATACTTGACTGCTGTGTGACACTTCCTGTGGGAGATGTAGATGGTCTTCCACTGGACAAACTTGCCTAAAATAGTAAGACTTTTAGAATATGTCGGTAAAAACCTGAAGTTAAGAACTTTCTGGTACCATGATAACACAAAACCACAACAATAAATGTCAAAAGGCCTATGTATGAAACAACTAATTTTATAGTCAACATGGCTTAAGCTTCGGTTAAACAGATTTTTTAAATAAGGAAAAGCTGAATGGTGAAAACAGGGGATCCAAAGACTAATCTTATTTTATTAGCTACTTTATTGTCAGTTTCACTTTATGGGTCTCTGTCATCTTTAAAGTGGAATCACTACTCCAGAGTTATGAAAAAGAAATTAGAGCTACAGCAAGAGCCAGTGAGTGGGTTTCAGTTTCCTAACTTGTATCACAAACATGTTATTTAAAAATTACACTACTAAGAAGCAACAGCTGAGAATCTGTTGGTAACAGAAATAAACCTTTTTCAGGTTCAGTCAATTGAGATCCTCCTCTGGTGAGGGGATTTAAGATTAAATCTTACACAGCTTTATTTAAATAGTACAATAGTAACAAAAATCTTTTTTAAAAACAAGCATTTAATAATGAAATCCTGTTATCAGTAGGAATAATATGATTGGATTTTAGAAAAATGGATATACCTATCTTTGTATAAAAAATTTCTGGAGAAATATGTATTAGATTGTTACTGTGGCCACCTTTGAAGAACGGGAAACAGTGATAGACAGGGAAAAGGAACAGCTTTACTTTATCTCTTATAAACAACTTAATATTGTTTGATTTTTTAATGAGTATAATTACTTATATAATTTTTTTAATCTTATTTTTAGTAAAAATACAATTTATGTAAGCCTAAGTACTCACTGTTGTACCTAGAACTTTATACACATAAACTAGCATAGCATTTCTTCAATCTGGATAAAAAGCACTGAGACAAAAGCTAGAAACAGAGTAACATAAAAAAACATATCCCCTTTTTCTCAATTAACTTCTATTCGGCAACCTATTAATATATTTCCTCCGGGAAAAATAACCACAGGACATCTGAGAACTCTGAAATAATACCCAATCTATTTATTTTCAGTAACTACCTACAGATAACAGAAACTTTGATCTCATAAACTCTTATTTTAGTCTTACCTGAACAGCAGCAAGGCTCTGAAGCTGGGAGCTGCTTAAATGCTGCTGCTGAAGAGCTGCAGTATGCAGCATCAAGTGCTGTTGTTGGGCTGCATACATTTGCTGAAGGTACTGAGCAGCTGAGCTGGGGGGCCGATGCAATGCCTGTTGAATTACCTGTGATAAGTCAATTGAACCAATGTCAAACCATAATCTCAACCTTTATCTTAATCAGAAAATCAAAGTATAAAAAAGTGGCAGTTTAAAATTTCACTGCTTTAATACATAATATCATCAAGCTTATTAACATTATTTCTTTCCTAGTTACATATCACTAGAAATCACTAACTTGTACACATTAAAACTACCCAGTGGGCCGGGCACGGTGGCTCACGCCTGTTAATTCCAGCACTTTGGGAGGCCGAGGTGGGCGGATCACAAGGTCAGGAGATCAAGACCATCCTGGCTAACATGGTGAAACCCCGTCTCTACTAAAAACACAAAAAATTAGCCAGGCATGGTGGCACATGCCTGTAGCCCCAGCTACTCGGGAGGCTGAGGCAGGAGAATCGCTTGAACCTGTGAGGTGAAGGCTGCAGTTGAGCCAAGATCATGCCACTGCACTCCAGCCTGGGCGACACAGCAAGACTCCCATCTCAAAAAAAAAAAAACAAAACAAAACCCAGTGGACAATTCGCAAAAGACAGGCCAGGCCAACTAAGCATTTCAAAAGATTTTCAATCTCACCAGTAGTCAAAAACTTACAAATTAAAACAAGATACTGTTTTCCAACTTTCAGATGGATAAAGATTTAAAAGAATACTACTACTACCTGGGGAAACCAATACTCCCATATTGCTAGTAAAAATTCAAGTTGGCATAACCTTTTTGGATAAAACTTCGTAGAATTCAGGGCTTGGGTGTGGAGAGAAATACCTTTACCATGCAACCATAACAAATAGTAATGTAGATCAGTGCTGTCCTATACAGTAACAACTAGTCACATGTGCCTACTGAGCACTTAAAATGTGGTTAGTGCAACTAAAGAATTGAGTTAATTTTAAATTGAATTTTAATTAATTTTAATTTTAATGTAAACAGCCACAAGTAACTACTGGCCACTATAGTGTACATTGCTGATACCGATCTATATTTACTAACAAAAAGAAAATCAGTGGGTTACAAAATAGTATATAGAGTAAGATACCATTTTTATATTAAAATATTTGAAAGAATCCACAGGAAAACTTTCAAAGACCACTGATGGGTAGCTAGATTAGAGGTGATTTTTAGCTTCTACTTCATACTCTTCTATAGATGTCTGAAAATCTTACAATGAGCAGGTATTATTAATAATCATATAAAATTACAAAGCAGCTGGGCAGGTTGGCTCATGCCTGTGATCCCACCACTTTGGGAGGCCAAGGCAGGCAGGTCACCTGAGGTCAGGAGTTCAAGACTAGCCTGGCCAACATAGTGAAACCCTGTCTCTACTAAAAATACAAAACTTGGCCAGGCATGGTGGCATGCACCTGTAATCCCAGATACTCAGGAGGCTCAGGTGGGAGAACTGCTTGAACCCAGGAGGTGGAGGCTGCAGTGACCAGAGATCATGCCACTGCACTCCAGCCTAGACGACAGAGCAAGACCCCATCTCAAAAAAATAATAATAATAAAATAAAAATAAAAAATAAAATTATAAAGCTATTTCTTCTTTAGAAAATTACTCAATAATTTAAAAAATTTTTAAATGTCAAATACCTTGTTTTGCTTCAACATTGAATAAAACTATTCTTACTTAATTCCTTAAAAAGTGTTAATTACTGTGAATATTTGTTAGTAAAATGTAAAATCTGAGCCTGAAACTTCATAAATAAATATAGAAAAGTCAAGTACTCTACTAAAATCAGAGAAAATTCTTACATTTCTCCAAAAGGTTAAGTCAGAATAAGTCAATCCTATACAACCAAATCCGAAAGTCACATTGTGCTCACTGTGACTCTGAAACAGCACAGAACCCTAATCGCAGCATCAAACCAGAGTTTTCAAAGAGCTAAGGGAGTAATAGTGCCATAATCCTATAGCTTGAGGGTCTCTCAGGACATCTTGAGCCATAATGCCATGAATCCTTTTATCTAAACTTCAAGACAGCATATTTCTGTGTGTTATTGTTTATTTTCATGTGTTAATATCTCACCTCTCCAACTATAGACTACTATGCCTGATACAAATTTCTGTCACAAAATCAATGGGAGCTTTTGACCTCTACCTGCAGGGGACTATAGGCCAGCATTAAGTGATTCAGAATTATAACAATATACCTTTTTTAGTCAGATCAATCTCTATTTGTTCTTCTAATTCCATAACAAAATTCTAAAAGCACTGGACTGTATACGGAAAAAAATTCTAAAATCAAACTGAAATAACAATCTATTTGACACATACTTTTGTCAGAGTATACTCATTTTTTCTGTTGTCAGCACAGTCTTTCACTACTATTCAATTACTCACAGCAATGAGTAAATACAAGTTATAGATACAGCAAATTGTTCTTATTTATTATAAATTCTTATTCACCCAAGGAGGGTGAAGAGAATTCCCAGGACAGAAAAAGCAAGCTGGAAGATTAAAGAATTACTTAGGTAGTTCAATAAATATTGATTTGATTTCATTTTGGGAGAAGCAATTCTATGGTCTCATAAGAAACAGAGTCAGTGCTATTTATGAGATATATCTACATCTACATATCTTTCTATTAATTTTTTATTAATCTATGCAGCTTAATTGAAAACTAGAGGACAAAATGGTATATTAAGCGATCACATTATCAGTCAGGCGTGGTGGCTCATCCCAGCACTTTGGGAGGCTAAGGCAGGAGGAGAGCTTAAAGCCAGAAGGTCAAGACTAGCCTGGGCGACATAGTGAGATCCTGTCTCTACAAAATAAAAAAATTAGCCAAGCATAGTCACATGTGCCTGTAGTCTCAACTACTCAGGAGGCTGAAGCAGGAGGAGCACTTGAGCCCAGGGGGTCGTGAGTTGTGATCATGCCACTGGACTCCAGCCTAGGCAACACAGAGGGAGAGAAGAAAAAAAAAAAAAGGGGGGGGCCAGGCGCAGTGGCTCACGCCTATAATCCCAGCACTTTGGGAGGCCGAGGCGGGCGGATTACCAGCTCAAGAGATTGAGACCATCCTGGCTAACATGGTGAAGCCCCATCTCTACTAAAAATACAAAAAATTAGCTGGGTGTGGTGGCACGTGCCTGTAGTCCCAGCTACTCAGGAGGCTGAGGCAGGAGAATCGCTTGGACCAGGGAGGCAGAGGTTGCAGTGAGCCAAGATCGCGCCACTGCACTCCAGCGTGGGCTACAGGGCAAGACTCAGTCTCAAAAAAAAAAAAAACAAAACCCGGCCGGGCACGGTAGCTCATGCCTGTGATCCTAGCACTTTGGGAGGCCAAGGCAGGTGGATCACAAGGTCAGGAGTTTGAGACCGGCCTGACCAATATGGTGAAACCCCATCTTTACTAAAAATACAAAAATTAGCTGGATCTGCTGGCACATGCCTGTAGTCCCAGCTGTTCTGGAGGCTGAAGCAGGAGAATCGCTTGAACCTGGGAGGCAGAGGTTGCAGTGAGCCTAGATCACGCCACCGCACTCCAGCCTGGGCGATAGAGCGAGACTCGGTCTCAAAAAAAAAAAAAAAAAAAAGATCTAAATCCTTTTCCCTGTATCCCTTACCTCAGAGAAAGGTAAAAAACATTAAAACCTCACTCTGCATTCAAGTTTGAATTTCTGGTGAACTGGCTGGTTCCACTCCACAGTGATTTTGGAAAACTAAATCCTAAACCAAAAACAGTTAAATAGACATTATACTGGGGTATCCACCATGGAAAAATGGAGCAGAGGAAGGACTATATTGCAAGCAGTTGTTTTCAGGGTGGATGCAATTATAAGGATTCTACCAGAAGAAAGCAGGTATAATAGAAAAAATAAGAATTCACAGAGTGGTTAAGGGCACAAGGGCTGAAGTCTGAGAACTAGCTAGGTGAGTTTGGGAAAGTTATTTAGCTGATTTAAAACATTTATTTTCCCATCAGTAAAATGGAGATAATAATAATAGCTACTTCACAGAGGGCTGGTAATGATTAATGGAGATAATTCATGTAACATTTATCAAATGTTTGGCACGTAGCAATTATTCAATAAGTATTAGCTATTACTATCTACTGGAAACCTATAATGTGCCTTACACAGTTCTAGATACTTCATTAATCTCAAAGATACTTCATTTAATCCTCAGAGTAATTAATGAAAGAAGTAGTCTCACCCTCATTTTAGTTTTCTGAGGCTCAAGGGGATTATGTCTCATACCCAAGGCTATATAGCTCCTAAAGATAATGAAAATGGAATTCAAACAAAGTATAATAGAGTGGAAGGTCCATGCCCTTTTTATATAATACCATATTGCCCCAACCTCCATTATCATAAATGTTAACTAAGTAAACTTTACTTTCTCAACTAAGTGACTTCCTAGTTCAATATTCCCTTCCCCCTCTGCCCCTAAGGTATTTAGAATGGATCCTCCTGCTTAGGGTTCTTAGGCCACCTGGGTTTAATATAAACTTCGTAACATATCTACATACCTGAACAGATCTCCCTAAGTCTATATTTTGAGTTCCAATATAAAATAAAGCTACAACCATTCTGTATGTTGGGGCTCTAGGTTGAATGCCTTCATACTGTAGCAGCACCTAGAGACTTTCCCCTTATAATTTTCTTTACACATAATCCTATAAACTACATGCTGACAAATGTAAGCCCTCTCAATACTATATATATATATTTTGAGATGGAGTCTCACTCTTTTTGCCCAGGCTGGAGTGCAGTGGCGCTATCTTGGCTCACTGCAACCTCTGCCGCCAGGGTTCAAGTGATACTCCTGCCTCAGCCTCCCAAGTAGCTGGGATTACAGGTATGCATTACCATGCCTGGCTAATTTTTGTATTCTTAGTAGAGACGGGGTTTCACCATGTTGATCAGGCTGGTCTCAAACACCTGACCTCAAGTGATCCGCCAGCCTTGGTCTCCCAAAGCGCTGGGATTAGAAGTGTGAGCCACCACGCCCAGCATTTTTTTTTTTTTTTTTTTTTTGAGACAGGGTCTCACTCTGTCACCTAGACTGGAGTACAGTGGTGCGATCACAGCTCATTGCAGCCTTGACCTCCTGGGCTCAAGCAATCCTCCCACCTCAGCCTCCTGAGTAGCTGGGACCACTGGCACATGCCACCATGCCCTGCTGATTTTTGTATTTTTTGTAGAGATGGGGTTTCAACATGTTGTCCCAGCCAGTCTCCAACTCCTAAGCTCAAGCTATCTCCCTGCCTTGGTCTCCCACAGTGTTGGGATTACAGGCGTGAGCCACCACGCCTAGCCAATAGTATGATTATTAATTAACTTTGTTGGCTGTTGCTGTGGTTAAATGTGTCCCCCAATTAAGTATGTGTTGGAAACTTAATCTCCAATGCAACAGTGTTAAGAGGTAGGACCCCTGAAGGGTGATTAGGCCATAAGGACTCCGCCCACATGAATAGACTAAAGGAAAATTTTTTTTTTTTTTTTTTTTTGAGACGGAGTCTCGTTCTGTCGCTCAGGCGGGAGTGCTGTGGCGCGATCTCCGCTCACTGCAAGCTCCGCCTTCCGGGTTCACGCCATTCTCCTGCCTCAGCCTCCCGAGTAGCTGGGACTACAGGCGCCCGCCACTGCGCCCGGCTAATTTTTTGTATTTTTAGTAGAGACGGGGTTTCACCGTGGTCTCGATCTCCTGACCTCGTGATCCGCCCGCCTCGGCCTCCCAAAGTGCTGGGATTACAGGCGTGAGCCACCGCGCCCGGCCGACTAAAGGAAATTTTAAAAGGGCTTGAGGCTGCAAATTTGGTATCTTGCTCTCTAGTCTTCCACCACGGAATGAGGCAATAAGACGGCCCTCGTGAGATGCCAGCTCCTTCATATTAGACTTCCCAGCTTCCAGAAATGTAAGAAATAAGTTTCTTTTCTTTACAATTACACAGTCTTGGTATTCTGCTATAGCCACACAAAATGGATTGAGACAGTTGATTGAAACATTAGTAATTCTAACTGTACATTTGAGAATATGAAACAATACATAAATCCAGCTTAAGCAAAAAGTAATATGACATCTTAAGTCTTAGACTACCCATCACTACAGCTGAAATACCTGTACAGCATGTCGGTCTGAACCACTGTAGACAGAGATCTGTGGCTGCTGCATTCGAGAGGAGGAAGTGGTGATGGTGGTGGTGGTGGTACTGCTGGTTGTTGTTGACACAGAAGATGTTCCCGGGTTTGGTTCAGTATCCATAGCTGTACTATGGTCCTTAAATCTGGCAGGTCACACAAAGTGTTTGTATTGGTAAAAGCATTATCTTATGAGCTTTAAAGAATATTCATTCCAAAGAAATAATCAGCAGTAATCTAAACTGCTAGGAAGGCTCTCATAAAAGACAGCCAACACACAGTCACTATAAGCACTTAGAAGGGAAAAATACTTCACATATATGGAGCATATTTAATAGTTAATACCTACTACATTTGAATTCAAATGATTCAGAATACGTAACTCAGATAACGCATAGCCAAAAGTTTATCTTTGCATTACCGAAAGATTTTTTTTAAACCAAAACAGGTAATGAGAGAATACTAAACTACCTAGGAAAATAAAAATTTAAGCAGTATCAGAGTATTTTAAAACATTTCTTTACATTCTTTTGACCACACTAATTACAAACTAAAGTCATTCTTACCTATACATTAGAACAGAATGCCTAGGGACTCATGTTAACTAGCTTAGTTTAGTTTACCATATAAACTTTGCTTAAAAATAAGTTCTTTTTAAAAAATGTTAAAAAGTAATTTTTTTAACTCACACTGGCTTTTCCCCTAATCAGTCTACAACGCTGTCCTTACTACTTCTAATAGCTGAGTTATACTTATTAGCAGATTGCTGTGAGAACACAGAGAAGCAGCAAACAGCAACTTCCCATACCCTTACAAAATCTTTTTCACAAAGAATTACTCCAGATTTTGAAAACATAAATTATGTCACTTCCTCATGTATGGACAGTAAAGTACACTTTTATACCAGACTTTCTTCCCTCCAATACTATAATCTTACTTGTTGTGGTACAAAATTCCACTAAATACAGAATCTGTATTTGAATAAATTCAAACACTTTAAGTCAATTCTAAGGACCTCCATATTGTTAGAAACCAGAAGAGCAGTAGTTTTTGTCGGGCCAGAAATGTACCTCGAAGGTGAAAAGCACACAAGAGATTATACTGGTTTTATCTCCCTTTTCTTATCGGTCTTTTCTTCTGAGAAACTAAATCCCACCCACCCCACATTAGCAGCACTGATAAAAATGTAAGAACACTTTCTATTCCATGAAAAAACAAATGAATCTGGCACTAATTGGTACACATACACTATTACCATAGCGTTGCTTTTTTAAGTACAAATTTTCTTTGTTCTATATTACGTATGTAAACAGTATTTATATTCTCTGAGGAACCAAATGTAAAAAAAAACCGAACAAAAAAAAAAAAAAAGGAAAAGTGGGGGCCTTGAGTGGCGGTTCACACCTGTCATCCTACCACTCAGGGGGAGGACTGCTTGAGCTTAGGCGTTCAAAGCCAGCCTGGGCAACATAGGGAAACCCTGTCTCTACAAATGAAAAATAAAAAATTAGCCAGGCCTGGTGGCACAGGACTGTGGTCCCAGCAACTTGAGAGGCTAAGGTGGGGAAATCGCTTGAGCCCAAGAGGGCCAGGCTGCAGTGAGCTATGATCGTGCCACTGCACTCCAGCCTGGGAGATAAGAGTGAGAGACGCTGTCACAAAGAAAGAAAAAGAAAATAAGAGGAAAAGTGAAAGGAAAACCGTCAGGAAGAAAGCTGACTCCTCACTTACTTTTTGGATTAGTAAATAATTCATACATTTTTATGCTTCTGTTTTTTTTTTTTTTTTCCAAACTGCCTTCCAATCAAATCACAGCATCATATGGTAACTGTTCAACATTATACAGTATTAGTGGTAGGTAAGGTAAACTTTTTACCGAACTGCTGCCTGTCATACTACTACCGTATCGTGTACCAGTGACATGCAAAAGGCCAGCTTAAGTTCTGGTTTTTTAAAAGTGTTAATCTGCTCAACTATGCCCTCCAATCCAAACAGTATGGTAAACAGTTCTAACTCCTAACCAAAAATGGTCACAGAGAATCCAAATTCTCGGCATAAGTCTAAACATCGGTTGAGCGGAACTGGCCAAACCATCGCACTGCATTTCGAGGCCTGGCACAAAAGAACAACTTTGGTAACTCCACCGTCTAGGCATACTAATACCTGCAAAATACAGCCAGCAGTTCTGGTGCACAAGAGGCCTACCCAGGAAACAGTAAGTTCTGGAGTCGTTAACTAAACATACCGTCACACCGACACACAAGAATGTGGCCCGCGTGTGAGGCAGCAACGCTGCACCCAGAGAATCGAGGGAAAGACCTTTCTTTCAGGGTGTTTTCAGCCTCACCAGACCTGCAAGCAGCCCCCGCCGCTCTCAGGCCCACGCCGGGATGCCTCCGGCACGAGGGAAGCGGGCAGCCCCGCGTGTCGGATTCTCCCGCTGAGGAGGAGTGGGGTGGCGCCGGGGCGGGAAGGAGAAGAAGGCGAAGGAGGCCTGGCAGTGCCCGCCCTGCCCTACCCAGCCTCCGCGGGCCCCTGCGCAGGCAGCCGTAACAAGGCTGCCCGCGGGGCCCACTTGCAGGAATGACAGCGCCTGAGGAGCCCACCCGGGCTCGTTCCCCGGAAAACCCCAGCTCCCGGAGTCCCAAGGGTGACCCTGCGCGCAGGGCCGCGCAGATCCGGGACCTGATGGCGGAAGGGGCGCTCCTGCCTGGAGGGTAACTGGACCCTAGAGTTCGTCTTCGCCCCGCGACACGGGCCTAGCCGGCTCCTCCACGATAGGACGGGTCTCGAGTCTCTCTTTCCCCACACTGCCCGCAAAAGAGCCCTGAGCTTTCCCCTGGGGGAACGTGTCGCTGCCCCAACTCGCCCCCCCTAGTTACGACATCAGTCACCATCTAGTCACTCACTCCGCTTCCGCCATCTTCTCTCCTCCATCACTAACATGGGCTGCGCATGCGCCCCCCGGCGGCGGGCGGAGAGGCGGGGTCGGCTCAGCCCCCGGAGCCAGAGGTCACGTGGCGTCCTCAGCTTCCAATCGCCCCCGCCCACCATAGGAATTGCTCTTTCTGGAAAGTGACCAGATTTCCCCCACTAAGATAACCAGTGTCTCCTCTCCAAACCCCTCTCTTTCTCTCCTCCAGGATCTTCCTCTTGGGGAGATATCTGTAATAAAGATATAAAAAGTTATCTTAGATTGTTAAATTTAAAATTTAAAGAATATGGGCGCGGTGGCTCACCTGTAATCCCAGCACTCTGGGAGGTTGAGGAGGATCTCTTGAAGCGAGGAGTTCAGGACCAGCCTTGACAATAAAGTGAGACCCTGACTCTACCAAAAAAAAGCCCAACAATAATAATAATAATAATAATAATTTTGAAGAATATCTAAAATATACCAAAGCCTATGCAAACTGCAGAGTGGTTTCAAAGAAAATACCCACGAGGATTAGAGGCTGAGGTCTCAGGGAGAAAGGAAATTCAGGGCTGGCTGCAGGGCTTGTTGCCTGGGAGCTTTGGGGCTTGAGGGTCCCAACCAGCAGTACCTCTCTCCAGCTGAAAGATAGTGTTCAGATGCCAGTGAATGAGTGGTTAAGGAATCATCCTGACTACCCTAGGCATATCATTCATGTCTTCAGTATGAATTTGCTGAGCGCTTAGTAGGAATTGCAAACTTGAACACCACAAGGAACAAGCAGGAACAGCCACCAGTTTGCTAGTGTAGTCTGCTAAATGCCAACAACTCAGGTGTGTGAGACAAACATATAAAGATAAGTAAAATAACACATTTAAATATAAATATGAAATAATAAAGATGAGTCCTTGTCTTCCAAGAAGTAGCGGAGCGGGTTTTATAGACATTTGCATACAATATAATGTGTTCTGAAGACCGGGACGATGGCTCACCCTCATAATACCAGCACTTTGGGAAGTGAAGTTGGGAGGATTGCTTGAGCCCGGGAGTTTGAGACCACCCTGGGCAACATGGGGAAATCCCATCTCTACAAAAAATACAAAAATTATCCGGATGTCGTGGCGCGCACCTGTCATCCCAGCTACTCAGGAGGCTGAGGAAAAAGTGTTCTGAAACAGATCTATTAAGTGCTTTGGAAAGTTTAAAGTTCAAGGTGTATAATAAATCTTTACCTCCCTTTACAGGAAAAAAAAAGCATACGAACCATAAACAATGTCTCTTTTTGCATTTTGTGAGGTGATGGAGTCACAATAATTTCAAGAACTGAGAATGAAGTATTGATATAAATCCATCCGGAAGTGTAATATGGTCTGATGAAAAGTATACTTAGTCTTAGAAATCCTATATGCCAGGATGTGCCTAAGGAAGGGAAAAGAACACTTCCCATCTATGTGAGCTTAAATTGTCCCTTTGCCCACTTTTCCCATCTGATAACATCTTTTTTTTTTACCTTGTCTACCTAATAGCAGTACTATCTACTACTACTTCTAGAATTCATTGAGAAAGTCTCCTTTTAAAAGTCCCTGTAGACCAGGCACAGAGGCTCACTCCTGTTATACCAGCAATTTGGGGGGCCGAGGAAGGCGGATAACCTGAGGTCAGGAGTTCAAGACCAGCCTGGCCAACATGGTGAAACCCTGTCTCTACTAAAAATACAAGAATTAGCCGGGTGTAGTGGCACCTGCCTATAATCCCAGCTACTCCAGAGGCTGAGGCAGGAGAATCGCCTGAACCTGGGAGATGGAGGTTGCAGGGAGACAGTGCCACTTCATTACAGCCTGGGAAAGAGACTGAGACTCCATCTCAAAAGAAAATAAAAAGTCCTTGTAGATGCTTTAAAATATTACTGCTTTTTCTTTCATTCTGACTTGCTCATATATCATTGTTATTAAACTTTTTTTTTTTAAATTGAGACGGAGTATTACTCTGTCGCCCGGGTTGGAGTGCAATGATGAGATCTCGGCTCACCACAACCTCCGCCTCCCGGATTCAAGCGATTCTCCTGCCTCGGCCTTCCGAGTAGCTGGGATTACGGGCACGTGCCACCACACCCAGCAAACTTTTTCTATATTTTTGGTAGAGACGGGGTTTCACCATGTTGGCCAGGCTGGTCTTGCACTCCTGACATCAGGTGATCCACTGGCCTCAGCCTCTCAAAGTGCTAGGATTACAGGCGTGAGCCATTGCACCCGGCCTTTTATTAAACTTCCAAGAATCGGCCGGGCGCGGTGGCTCATGCCTGTAATCCCAGCACTTTGGGAGGCCAAGGCGGGTGGATCACCAAACGTCAGGAGTTCAAGACCAGCCTGGCCAATATGGTGAAACCCCATCTCTACAAAAAATACAAAAATTAGCCGGGCGGTAGTGGCGTGTGCCTGTAATCCCAGCTACTCCGGAGGCTGAGGCACGATGATTGCTTGAACCCAGGAGATGGAGGTTGTGGTGAGCGGGGATGGTGCCACTGCCCTCCAGCCTGCCAATAAAGCGAGACTCCGTCTAAAAAAAAAAAAAAAAAACACAAAACTTTCAAGAATCAACTATACATTGGTATTGCTGAAACTATTTTGTTTAGAGAAACAAAAGTGAAGAAAGCACAGTCTTAGGCCTAAACATGGAAAATGCATAAATCAAAGATGTATTTGGAATACATAGGCCAAAATTGTTCTTTTTTTATCCTCCTTTCACTTGAACATCTAGGTCCTATATCCCTAGTGTTACCTCGTACAGATTGCCTTTAAAAATGAGAATATATGTCCGGTCACGGTGGCTCATGCCTGTAATCCCAGCACTTTGGGAGGCCAAGATGGGCGGATCGCCTGAGGTCAGGAGTTCGAGACCAGCCTGGCCAGCATGGTAAAACCCGGTCTCTACTAAAACTACAAAAATTAGCTGGGCATGGTGGCAGGCGCCTGTAATCCCAGCTACTCGGGGAGGCTGAGGCAGGATAATCACTCGAACCCAGGAGGCAGAGGTTGCAGTGAGCTGAGATCACGCCATTGCACTCCAGCCTGGGCAACAGAGCGAGACTCCATCTAAAAAAAAAAAGCCAGGGGGGAATATATGTTGGGTAAAATCAGAATAGTATTGTTTTTTAGAAACATTTCAATGCTCAATACTTATTATAACAGCTAACACTTGTATCACCTTTTATAAAGTGCAAAGGATTTCCATAAAACTCATTTGTTGATCTTCACAATAACTCTGTGATACAGTTATCATGATTCCCATTTAGCACGGAAGTATAGTGAGCTTCAAGGTAATTAAGTGCCTCGGGTGACTGCTAGCATGTACAAGAAATGGAGTTCTAATTTAAGGTTGCCATCTCCAAAGCCAAGTTTTCTTCACTACATCATTCAGCAAGCCACTATGCAAAACATTAAAGGGGACAAGGTATGATGAAAGACCACTCTCAAGAAACTTACCGGCCAGGCACGGTGACTCACGCCTGTCATCCCAACACTTTGGGAGGCAGAGGCAGGTGGATCACCTGAGGTCAGGAGTTTTAAGACCGGCCTGGCCAACATGGTGAAACCCCGTCTCTACAAAAATACAAAAATTAGCCGGGCACAATGGTGGGTGCCTGTAATCCCAGCTACTCAGGAGGCTGAGGCAGGAGAATCACTTGAACCTGGGAGGCAGAGGTTGCAGTGAGCCGAGATCGCGCCATTGCACTCTAGCCTGGGTGACCGAGCAAAACTCCGTCTCAAAAAAAAAAAGAAACTTACGGTCAATTGTCTGATCAAACAGAAGGTATTTTACCTCTATCATTTCCTAGGGGAAAAAAATGTATATGGTATGCTAGCAGGATGGATTTTCTCAAGTTTTGCAAGAACCATGACCTTGGAAAAGTACAAAGATCCTGTTTTATTTTAGAAAAATCCCTCTAGCTTTGTGAAGGATGGACTGGGGGAAAGTGTAACTGGGGAGAGGATCAGTTGGGAAACTGTGCATTAATCCTTATAGAAATGATAAGGGTGGGCCAGGCGCGGTGGCTCACGCCTGTAATCCCAGCACTTTGGGAGGCCGAGGCAGGCGGATCATGAGGTCAGGAGATTGAGACCATCCTGGCTAACATGGTGAAACCCCGTCTCTACTAAAAATACAAAAAATTAGCCGGGCGTGGTGGCGGGCGCCTGTAGTCCCAGCTACTCGGGAGGCTGAGGCAGGAGAATGGCGTGAACCCGGGAGGCAGAGGTTGCAGTGAGCTGAGATCGCACCACTGCACTCCAGCCTGGGCAACAGAGCAAGACTCCGTCTGAAAAAAAAAAAAAAGAAATGATAAAGGTTAGGGGAAGAAAAGGGAGGGCTAAATTGAACTTTTAGTTCCTTAGTGGCACAGTCACATTTCAGGTGCTCAATAGGCACACACGGCTAGTGGCTACCATATTGGACAGTACAGATGTAGAACATTTCCATCATCACAAATAGTTCTACTGGACAGCACTGGTCTGGTCTCTTGATCAGAGGTTGCCAAACAACAGCCCACAGACTAAATCTAGACTGTAACTTGTTTTTGTATGGCCTGCAAGCTAAGAATGGATTTTTACATTTTCTAATAATTGAAAAAAAATCAAAAGAATCATATGTTGTGATATGTGAAATTTAGGTATTTCAGTGTCCATAAATAAAATATTATTAGAACACAGCCACACTAATTTCTTTATGTATTATCTGTGGCTGCTTTTATGCTACAAGGGCAGAGTTGAATAGCTGTGACAGACACCATGATTGTCCGCAAAGTGTAACATATTTACTATCCAGCATTTTTTTTTTTTTTTTTGAGACAGAGTCTTGCTCCGTCGCCCAGGCTGGAGTGCAGTGGCGCGATCTCGGCTCACTGCATGCTCCGCCTCTAGGGTTCACACCATTCTCCCGCCTCAGCCTCCCCAGTAGCTGGGACTACAGATGCCTGCCACCATGCCTGGCTAATTTTTCTGTATTTTTAGTAGAGACGGGGTTTCACCGTGTTAGCCAGAATGGTCTCGATCTCCCGACACTGTGATCCACCCGCCTCGGCCTCCCAAAGTGCTGGGATTACAGGCGTGAACCACCGTGCCAGGCCTTTTTTTTTTTTTTTTTTTTTTGAGACCAAGTCTCACTCTGTTGCCCAGGCTGGAGTGCAGTGGCACGATCTCAGCTCACCGCAACCTCCGCCTGCTGGGTTCAAGCGATTCTCCTGCCTCAGCTTCCCAAGTAGCTGGGACTACAGGTGTGAGCCACCACACCTGGCTAACTTTTGTATCTTTTGTAGAGATGGGGCTTCACCATGTTGGCCAGGCTGGTCTTGAACTCAAACTCCTGACCTCAGGTGATCTGCATACCTTGGCCTCCCAAAGTGCTAAGATTACAGGCATAAGCCACCGCATGTGGCTCTATCCAGCCTTTTACAGAAAAAGTTTGCTGACTATTCTACATCATTGACCACCCTACACTGGGTTCTTTCAGAGTACTTAATAGAGCACACATACTGTCGATGCCTCAGTTGGACCACGATTGCTCTCATAGGATCTAATGTGATGAGACAAAAAGTCCAACAGACTTAGATTTTAACGCTGAGCTCACTCCTTTACCAAATGAGCCACGTTGAGCAAGTAATTTAATTGCTTCAAGTTTCTTGGGGTTTTTCTGTTTTTTGTGGTTTTTTGTTTTTTTTTTTTTGAGACAGAGTCTCACTCTGTTGCTTAGGCTAGAGTGGTGTCACAATCTCAGCTTACTGCAACTTCTGCCTCCTGGGGTCAAGCAATTCTCCTGTCTCAGCCCCCCGAGTAAGCTGGGACTACAGGTGCCTGCCACCATGCCCAGCTAATTTTTGTATTTTTAGTAGAGATGGGGTTTCACCTTGTCAGTCAGTCTGGTCTCGAACTCCTGACCTCAGGTGATCCATCCACCTTGGCCTCCCAAAGTACTGGGATTACAGGCGTGAGCCACCATGCCCAGCCCAAGTTTTATTTTATAATGTAAAGAAAAAAGGGGATGATAATACCTCACAAGATTGTTGTAAAGTCTAAAAAAGTCTAATGTAAAGTCTTAAAAAGTCCTCTTTTTCTTTTTTTCATTTAATTTTTTTTAGAGACAATCTTGCTATGCTGCCCAGGCTGGCTGGAGTGCAGTGGCTTCTCACAGGTATGAACATAGCTCATTGTAGCCTTGAATTCCTGGGGCTCAAGTGATCTTCCTGCTTCAGCCTCCTGAACAGCTGGAACTACAGGCACTGACCACCATGCACCTTTTTTTTTTTTAACTTTTTATCGAGGTCCTCTTTCATCTAGATTTTCTCAATAACTATGATTGAATATGCATAATAATCAGTTTTAAATGCTTGTTGAGAGAATGAAGACTTGAATGTTTGGTTGAATAAGACAAAATTTCAGTATAGCCTGTAAATTTGAATGGCATATAGATAGACTTGCTTTCTCTTTAATACTCTAAAATCAAATACTTTTTTTGGGGGGGGACAGATTCTCACTCTGTCACCCAGGCTAGAGTGCAGTGGCCGAATCTGGATCTCGGCCTTGGCTCACTGCAAGCTCCACCTCCCAGGTTCAAGCAATTCTTGTGCCTCAGCCTCCCGAGTAGCTGGGATTACAGGTGCATGCTACCACACCTGGCTATTTTTTTGTATTTGTAGTAGAGATGGGGTTTCACCATATTGGCCATGCTGGTCTCAAACTCCTGACCTCAAGCCGTCTACCTGCCTCAGCCTCCCACAATGCTGGAATTGCAGGCGTGAGCCACCACGCCCGACTCCAAATACTTTTACTAAACCAATTTTTTTTCCTTTTTCTTTCTTTTTTTTTTTTTTTTTTGAGACAGAGTGTCGCTCTGTCACACAGGCTGGAGTGCAGCGATGTGATCTTGGCTCACTGAAACCTCTGCCTCCCGGATTCAGGCAATTCTTGTGCCTCAGCCTCCCGAGTAGCTAGGGTTACAGGCTCACACCACCACACCTGGCTAATTTTTTGTGCTTTCAGTAGAGATAGGGTTTCACTATGTTGGCCAGGCTGATCTTGAGCTCCTGACCTCAGGTGATCTGCCTGCCTGCCTCAGCCTCCCAAAGTGCTGGGATTACAGGCATGAGCCACTGCACCTGGCCATAAAGCAAATTTTATTGAAACTGAAAACATATTCCCTAGCCTTGCTACCTCTCACCTACTTTTGCAATAGATCATTATGTTAATCATATGCTTGGCGAGGCGCAGTGGCTCACTCCTGTAATTCCCAGCAGTTTGGGAGGCCGACATGGGCAGATTACCTGAGGTCAGGAGTTCGAGACCAGCCTTGCCAACATGGTGAAACCCTGTCTCTACTAAAAATACAAAAAATTAGCCGGGCGTGGTGATGCGTGCCTGTAATCTCATCTACTAGGATTACTAGGGAGGCTGAGGCAGAAGAATCACTTGAACCTGGGGGGCAGAGGTTGCAGTGAGCCGAGATCGGTCCATTGCACTCCAGCTTGGGCAACAAGTGCAAAACTGTCTCAAAAAAAAAAAAAAATCACATGCTTACCAGTCTTACTTTCCCTTATATACCAGTGGGTGGCACTGTACACAGTTGGCTGTATCTCCCTCGGTGCTGAAGAGTGGAAACAGAGCATTAAAGTTGGAAGGGACTTTCGAATTGATGTGACCCATACTGAGGAAGAATTCATGGCAAAAGCAGAATCTAAACTCTGACCTCCCATCCTCCCATTCCAGAATTTTTTGCTTAGTGCCACAAGGCCTCACTACAAGTGTGCAGATGCTCAATAAACACTTGAGGATGCTGTACACTCTCATTTCCATTCTGCTTTTATGCTTAGTTTCTGCTTAGCATTGTGGCAGCTTAGAAGCACTGTTGTAAAGCAGGGCTTTCGAATCAGACAAACTAAGACTTGAATCCTGGCTCTACCATGCACCAGCTCTGTGACCTCTTACAATCCTATCAGCTCCATCTTCAAAGTATAACCGCATCTCTGGCCACACCACTGTGAACATGCATGAATTCCTCAAAACACGTATCAAATCTGACATTTCTTGTCACCTCCACCATTATCAGCCTAAGTCAAGACACAGATTTTTTCCTGGACCACAGCAATAGGCTTCTGACAGGTCACCTGGCCTCTGTTCTTGTTCCTCTACAGTCTATTCTGCATACAGTACCTTAAGGAAGAAATGTAAACCAGAGTGTCACTGTTCTCTCAAATCCCCCAGTGGCTTCCTGTCCCACCAATATGGCCCTGAGTGATTTTCCCTTGCTCTGTTGGCTGCAGCCTCACTGGCCTCCTTATTTCCCCCCTTAGCACTTGCTACTTCCCCAGCCAGGGATGCCTTTCACACTGACCTCACTTCCTTATTCCATCCAGACCTCTGTTCAGACATCTCCTCAGAGAGCGCTCCTTGACCACCCAACCTAATATGGCCCTCTCATCACTTTTCTTCCCTTATCCCACTAACTTTTCTTCATAGCACTTCAATGCAACAGACATTATGTACATACTTACTTGTTTATTTATTTACTATTCCCACCAACCTCCAGGTTGTAAGCTCCACATTTTGCTCACTGTGATATTCCTAGTTCTTAAAACATTAAGCGCTCAAAAATTATGCATTGAATGAATGAAACTCCTTAACCTCTCTAATCCCCACTTTGCTAATCTAAAAAATGAGAATAATATTTACCACAAAGTTATTGTGAAATTAAACAAAAAATGAAATAATGTATATAAATAGAACATTAAAAATGCTCAATAAGTGTAGCTGTTATTGTTCACTTTTTGTTGTTTTGCCACATATTATTATGCTAAACTAAAGCAAAATAATCCTTCTATCCTATTTCCAAAGGACATATTCTTTAATTATGAGGCAATCCCTAGTTTTGAAAGTTAGCATTATACATTTCTTTAATTTGCATATGCTATATTTTAAAATATTGGGCTTCTGTAACTGAGAATAGATTTTTGCTTGTATACTTCTAATGTATTAAAATAAAAATTTTGGCCAGGCACAGTGGCTCATGCCTGTAATCCCAGCACTTTGGCAGGTCGAGGCGGGTGGATCACGAGATCAGGAGTTCGAGACCAGTCTGGCCAACAGAGTGAAACCCCATCTCTACTAAAAATACAAAAAATTAGCCGGGTGTGGTGGTGTGCGCCTGTAATCCCAGCTACTCAGGAGGCTGAGGCAGGAGAATCGCGTGAACCCGGGAGGCAAAGGTTGCAGTGAGCCAAGATCATGCCATTGCACTCCAGCCGGATGACAGTGCGAGATTCTGTCTCAAAAATAAATAAGTAAAATAAAAATTTTTGGCCAGGTGAGGTGGCTCACAGTAGTCCCAGCTACTCAGAAGGCTGAGGTGGGAGGATCATTCAAACCCAGAAATTCAAGGTTGTAGGGAGCCATGATCGTGCCATTGCACTCAAGCCCGGACGAAAGAGCAAGACCCTACTATCTCAAAAATAAGTAAATAAATATTAAAAATATAAAGCTTTATATCAGTGTCATGTCAAATCTTTTTTTTTGTTAACTCGGTTTTTTGGCCTCCAAAAGTGCTGGCATTACAAACATGAGCCCCTACACCCAGCCCAGAATAAGCATTCTAAAGACCTCTTATTGTTGTAATTGTAGAATTATTCAAGGGCCTCAGCAGAAACCTTACAAGCCAGAAGGGATTGGGATCCTATCTTCAGCCTCCTTAAACTGAGTAACAGTCAGCCAAGAATTATTATTATTATTATTATTATTTTAGACAGAGTCTCGCTCTGTCGCCCAGGCTGGAGTACAGTGGCACGATCTCGGCTCACTGCAACCTCTGCCTCCTGGGTTCATGTGATTATCTTGCCTCAGCCTCAAAAGTAGCTGGGATTACAGGCATGCACCACCATGCCCTGCTAATTTTGTATTTTTAGTAGAGGCGGGATTTCACTATGTTGACCAGACTGGTCTCGAACTCCTGACCTCATGATCCACCCACCTCAGCCTCCCAAAGTGTTGGGATTACAGGCGTGAGCCACCACGCCCAGCAAGAATTTTTTTTTGAGAGGGAGTCTTGCTTTGTCACCCAGGCTGGAGTGCAGTGGCACCATCTCGGCTCACTGCAAGCTCCACCTCCTGGGTTCACGCCATTCTCCTGCCTCAGCCTCCCCAGTAACTGGGACTACAGGCACCCGCCACCACACCCAGCTAATATTTGTATTTTTAGTAGAGACGGGGTTTCACCGTATTAGCCAGGATGTTCTCGATCTCCTGACCTTGTGATCCACCCACCTCGGCCTCCCAAAGTGCTGGGATTACAGGCATGGGCCACCAAGCCCGGCCCATTAAGAATTTTTTTTTAAGGCAGGGTCTCACTCTCTTGCCCAGGCTGGAGTGGAATGGCACGATCATGGCTCACTGCAACCTCAACCTCCCTGGGCTCAGGTGACCCTCCCACTTCAGTGCATCCCACCACACATGGCTAATTTTTGTATTTTTTGTACAGATGGGGCTTCACCATGCTGCCCAGGCTGCTCTTGAACTCCTGAGCTCAAGTCATCTCCCATCTTGGCCTCCCAAAGTGCTAGGATTACAGGCATGAGCCACCACGCCCAACCTAGCCAACGATTTTGTATGTAGCAAAACTAAGTTTCATAAATAAAGGAGAAATAAAATCATTTTCAGACAAACAAATGCTTAGGGAACTTGTCACTACCAGACCAGCCCAACAAGAAATGCTAAAAGCTGTTCTAAATCCTGAAACAAAAGGCTGATATGCACTAGAGTAGAACCTCTTGATGGCATAAAACTCATGGGGCATATAAAACAATAACACAGTGAATAAAACAAAGTATCTAGGTAACAAATAACATGATGACTGGAACAGTACCTCACATCTCTCTTTTTTTTTTTGAGATGGAGTCTCACTCTGGCGCCAGGCTAGAGTACATTGGCACAATCTCGGCTTACCGCAACCTCTGACTCCCTGGTTCAAGCAATTTTCTGCCTCAGCCTCCCGAGTAGCTTGGATTACAGGTGCCTGCCACCATGCTCAGCTAATTTTTGTATTTTTAGTGGAGACGGGGTTTCCCCATGTTGGCCAGGATGGTCTCCATCTCTTGACCTCGTGATCTGCCCGCCTCAGCCTCCCAAAGTGCTGGGATTGCAGGCATGGCCTTTTTGGGTTTTTTTGTTTTTTGCAGGGAGGGGACAGGGTCTTGCTCTGTCACCTGGGCTGGAGTGCAGTGGTACAATCTTGGCTCACTGTAACCTCCACCTCCTGGGCTCAAGTGGGCTTCCCACCTCAGCCTCCTGAGTAGCTGGGACTATAGGTGTGCACCATCACACCCAGTTAAGTTTGTGTGTGTGTGTGTGTGTGTGTGTGTGTGTGTGTGTATTTTTTGTAGAGATGGGGTTTCGCCATGTTGCCCAGGCTGCTCTGGAATTCCTGGGCTCAAGTAATTCTTCCACCTCAGCTTCCCAAAGTGCTAGCATTATAGGTGTGAGCCACCACCATACCCAGCCTCAAATCTCAATATTAATGTTGAATGTAAACAGCCTAAATGCTTCACTTAAAAGATACAGATTGGCAGAATGGGTCTAAAAATTGCAAACCAAATATCTGTTGTCTTCAAGGGACTTATATAACACATAAAGATTCAGATAAACTCAAGGTAAAGGAGTGGATAAAGATATTCCATGCAAATGGAAACCCAAAGCAAGCAGGAGTAGCTATTCTTCTATCAGATAAGATAGACTTTAAAGCAACAACAGCCAGGTGTGGCAGTTCACACCTGCAATCTCAGCCCTTTGGGAGGCTGAGGCAGGAGGATCCCTTGAACCCAGGAGTTCAAGACCAGCCTAGGCAACACAGCAAGACCCTGTCTCTATGAAAAAATTTAAAAATTAGCCTGGTGTGGTGGTGTGTGCCTGCAATCCCAGCTAATGAGGAGGCTGAAGTGGGACAATCACTTGTGTGTCGTAGGTTCAGGCTGCAGTGAGCTGTGATCATCCCACTCTACTCCTGCCTGAGCAATAAAGCCAGACCCTGTCTCAATAAATAAATAAGTAAATAGCAACAACAGTAAAAAAAAAAAAAAAAAGGACAAAGAAGATAATTATATAATGATAAAAGGATCAATCCAACAAGAAGATATTACAATCCTAAATTCATATGTACCAATACTGGAGCTCTAAGATTCATAAAACATTTACTACTGGACCTAAGAAATGAGATAGACAGCAACACAATGATAGTGGGGCACTTCAACACTCCACTCGCAGCATTAGACAGATCATCAAGACAGAAAGTCGGCAAAGAAAAAAATGGATTTAAAACTACACTCTAGAACAAATGGACCTAACGGATATTTACAGAACATTCTACCAGAGAACTGCAGGATAAACATTCTTCTCTTCAGCACGTGGAACATTTTCCAAGACAGATCATATGATAGGCCACAAAATAAGTCTCAGTAAATTTTTAAAAAACTGAAATTTTATCAAGTATCTTCTCAGACCACAGTGGAATAAAACTAGAAATCAACTACAAAAGGAACCCTCAGAACCACACAAATACATGGAAATTAAACAATCTGCTCCTGAATGATTTTTGGGGTAACAATAAAATCAAAATTGAATTTTAAAAATTCTCTAAGGTTAATGATAACAGTGATACTAAGTTATCAAGCCCTCTGGGTTAAGCAAAAGCAGTGCTAAGAGGAAAGCTTATAGCACTAAATGCCTACATCAAAAAGTCTGAAAGATCACAAATTGAAAGATCACAAAAAGTCTGAAAGATCACAACCTAATGTTACACCTCAAGGAGCTGGAGAAACAAGAACAAATTAAACCAAAAGCTAGCAGAAGAAAAGAAATAACACAGATCAGAGCAGAAATTGAAACAAAAATAAACAACACAAAACATCAATGAAACAAAAATCTGGTTCTTTGAAAAGATAAACAAAATTTATAAACCATTAGCTAGATTAATCAAGAAAAGAAGAGAGAAGATTCAAATAAACTCAATTGGAAATGAAACAGAAATGACAACCGATGCCGCAGAAACAAAATATCATTCTGGACTACTATGAACACCTCTATGCACACAAACTAGAAAATCTAGAGGGAATAGATACATTCCTGGAAACATACAACCCTTCTAGATTAAATCAGGAAGAAACAGAAACCCTGAACAGATCAGTAACAAGCAGTGAGATTGAATCAGTAATTTAAAAATTGTCGGCCAGGTGCTATGGCTCACGCCTGTAACCCCAGCATATTGGGAGGCCAAGGTGGGTGGATCGCCCAAGCTCAGGAGTTCAAGACCAACCTGGGCAACATGGTGAAACCCCATCTCTACCAAAAATACAGAAAATTAGCCAGGCTTACTGGCAGATGCCTGTGGTCCCAGCTACTTGGGAGGCTGACGTGGGAGGATTGCTTGAGCATGGAAGGTAGAGGTTGAAGTGAGCCAAGATCATGCCACTGCACTCCAACCTGGGTGACAGTGAGACCCCATAACTCCCCCCACAAAAAAAATTGCCAGCAACAACAAAAAAGCCCAGGGCTAGATGGATTCATGGCAAATTCTACCAGACATTCAAAGTAGAACTGGTGCCGATCCTACTGAAACCATTCCAAAAGATTGAGAAAGAGGGAAACCTCCCTAACTCATTCTATGGAGCCTATATCACTCTGATACCAAAACTAGGAAAGGGCATAACAACAAAAAAAGAAACCCTTAAGACCAATATCCCTGATGAACATAGAACACAGATGCAAAAATTCTCAACAAAATACTAACTAATCGAATCCAACAGCACATCAAAAAAATACACCATGATTAAGTGGGTTTCATCCCAGGGATGCAGGTTTAGTTTAACATATGCAAGTCAATAAATGCGATACATCACATCAACAGAATTAAAAACAAAAGCCATATGATGATTTCAATAGATGCAGAAAAATCATTCAATATAATCCAGTATTGCTTTATGATAAAAATCCTCAAGAAACTAGGCATAGAAGGGACTCATCTCAAAATGATAAAAGCCGTATATGACAAATCCACAGCCAACGTAATACTGAACAGGAAAAGTTGAAAGCATTCCCCACTAAGAACTGGAATAAGACAAGGATGCCTACTTTCACCACTTCTATTCAACATAGTACTGGAAGTCCCAGCCAGGACAGACAACAGAAAGAAATAAAGGGGATCCAAATTGGAAAAGAGGAAGTCAAACTATTGCTATTTGCTGATGATATGATTGTATACCTAGAAAACCCTAAAGACTCCTCCAAAAGACTCCTAGATTTGATAAATGAATTCAGTAAAGTTTCAGGTTACAAAATCAATACACACAAATCAGCATACCAACAACGACCAAGTCAAGAGTCAAATCATTAACTCAATCCCTCCTACAACAGCTGCAAAAAAATAAAATACCTAGGAATATACTTAACCAAGGAAGTGAAAGATCTCTACAAGGAGACCTACAAAGCACTGCAGAAAGAAATCACAGATGACACAAACAAATGGCTTACAGAGTCTTTATTTTTTTACTCAGAAGCATTTCCTCTGCTTCCAACTGCCTTCATACTTCAGTCATTGAATTTCTCGTAAGCTAGGCCTTTTCACTACTCTGCCTTTATGTTAACCATTAATTCCACTTAAAACAGCAATAAGAAGAGATTGAGGGGGCCGTGCGCAGTGGCTCACGCCTGTAATCCCAGCACTTTGGGAGGCCGAGGCGGGCAGATCGCCTGAGGTCAGGAGTTTGAGATTAGCCTGCTCAATGTGGCGAAAACCCATCTCTACCAAAAAATACAAAACTTAGCCGGGTGTGGTGGCAGGCGCCTGTAGTCCCAGCTACTCGGGAGGCTGAGGCAAAAGAATCACTTGAACCTGGGAGGCTGAGGTTGCAGTGAGCCTGAGATGGTGCCACTGCACTCCAGCCTGGGGAACAGAGCAAGACTCCGTCTCAAAGAAAATAAATAAATAAATAAATAAATAAAAAGAAGAGATGCAGGGGAGAAAGAGAAGGCTACATTTGTTGAATATGTATTGGATGCTCCACATACAATATCCCATCTAATTTGCACAGTAATTCCATGAAGTACGTATACTAGCCACCCCTTATCAAAGGTTTCCCTTTCAGCAGTTTCAGTTACCTACAGTCAACCACAGTCCAAAAATATTAAATGGAAAATGGCAGAAATAAGCAATTCGTACATTGCCCACCATTCTGAGTAGTGTGATGAAATCTCATGCTATCCTGTTCTGACCCACCCAGAAACTGAATCATCCCTTTGTCCAGCATATCCACCTGCCTACACTACCTCCCTATGAGTCATTTGCCATCTGGGTTAGATAGGCTGTTGAGGTTCCCCAATGCTTGTGTTTCAAATCACTCTTATTTTACTTAATAATGGTCCCAAAGCACAATGGTATTGATGCTGGCAATTCAGATATGCCAAAGAGAAGGCGCAAAATGCTTTCCTTAAGTGAAAAGGTGGAAGTTCTTGACCTAATAAGGAAAAACACAATCATATGCTGAGGTTGCTAAGATCTATGGTAAGAATGAATCTTCTATCTGCAAAATTGTGTTGAAGGAAAAAAAAGTTCACGCATAGTATATACATGGTACTATCCACGGTTTCAGGGATCCACTGAGGGTCTTGGAAACCCCCCCCTCAGATAAGGGGGGACTACTGTAGTTTTATCCTCTATTTTGCTGATGAGGACAGTCACGTTAGTGGGATTAAGTAACCTGTCCAAGGTCACACAGCTAGTAAATGGCAAGACTAGCTTACTAGTGGCAAGTCTAAACACAGCCTTTTCTGTATGCTGACTCTCTCTCTACCCACTGTCTTCATCTGGCATTATTGTTCAGATTCTACTCATCACTTCCTTATCTTAGCCTTTGCAACCTCTCTCATTTGGAGTTAGCTGCTCCCGTAATAATCCGTCTATACTTGTCTAATAATAACAGGTGTTTTTTTAATTGAGATATAATTCACTGGCCGGGTGCGGTGGCTCACGCCTGTAATCCCAGCACTTTGGGAGGCCGAGGCGGGTGGATCATGAGGTCAGGAGATGGAGATTATCCTGGCTAACACAGTGAAACCCCGTCTCTACTAAAAATTACAAAAAAAATTAGCCAGGCGTGGTGGCGGGTGCCTGTAGTCCCAGCTACTCCGAAGGCTGAGGCAGGAGAATGGCGTGAACCCGGGAGGCGGAGCTTGCAGTGAGCCGAGATCTCGCCACTGTACTCCAGCCTGGGCGACAGCGCGAGACTCTGTCTCAAAAAAAAAAAAAAAAAAAAAAAAAAAAAAAAAAAAAAAAAAAAAAAAAAAAAAAAAAGACATGTAATTCACATAGGGCCCGGTGCGGTGGCTCCCACCTGTTATCCCAGCACTTTGGGAGGCCGAGGTGGGCGGATCACAAGGTCAGGAGATGGAGACCATCCTGGCTAACACAGTGAAACCCTGTCTCTACCAAAAAAAAAAATTAGCCGGGCGTGGTGGCGGGCGCCTGTAGTCCCAGCTACTCGGGAGGCTGAGGCAGGAGAATGGCGTGAACCCGGGAGGCGGAGCTTGCAGTGAGCCGAGATCTCGCCGCTGCACTCCAGCCTGGGCGACAGAGTGAGACTCCGTCTCAAGAAAAAAAAAAAGAGATAAAATTCACATAACATAAAATTCATTTGTACGATTAAAGTGTACAACCCAGTGTTTTTTTTTTTGTATATTCACTTTGTGTGCACCCATCACCACTGTCTAACTCCAGAACATTTCCATCACCCCAAAAGTAACCCTATGCCCATGATGCAGTGATTCTCCATTTCACCTTTCCTGCCACCCCTAGCAACTATAATCTGCTTCTGTCTCTATGCAGTTGCCTATTCTGGACATTTAATAGAAAAGAAATAATACATTAGATAGCCTTTTGTATCTAGCTTCTTTCACTCAGTTTAATGTTTT
The DNA here is from genome assembly GCF_000001405.40 of Homo sapiens. Taxonomy (NCBI): domain Eukaryota; kingdom Metazoa; phylum Chordata; class Mammalia; order Primates; family Hominidae; genus Homo; species Homo sapiens. Next base: position 170,198,695 of record NC_000003.12, read on the forward strand.
TTAGGTTCAGGCACATTGTAATGTTTCAGTACTTTCTTCCTTTTAATAGCTGAATATTATTCCATTGTATGAATATACCACATGTTGTTTATCCATTCATCATTTGATGGACATTTGTTTTTTTCTGCTTTTTATCTATTTATTTATTTATTATTGAGATGGAGTCTTACTCTGTTGCCCAGGCTGGAGTGCAGTGGTGCAATCTCGGCTCACTGAAACTTCTGCCTCCTGTGTTCAAGTGATCCTCTCACCTCAGACTCCCGAGTAGCTGGAGTTACAAGAGTGTGCCACCACGCCTGGCTAATTTTTGTATTTTTAGTAGAGACAGGGTTTCACCATGTTGGCCAGGCTGGTCTTGAACTCCTGACTGCAGGTGATCTGCCTGCCTCCATCTCCAAAAGTGCTGGGACTACAGGCATGAGCCACTGCGCCCAGTCGTTTTCTGCTTTTTAGCTATTATGAAACCTGTGCGGCCAGGTGGAGGTTGTAGTGAGCCGAGATCACGCCATTGCACTCCAGCCTGGGTAACAAGAGCGAAACTCCGTCTCAACAACAACAACAACAAAAACCTGTGCACGACGTTTTGTACAGACATGTTTTTAACTTTCTTGGAGATATACCTAGGAGTATATCTGGTTCTTATGGTAACTCTATGTTTAACATCTTGAGAAACTGTCAAACTGTGTTCCAAAGTAACTGTATGACATCATATTCCCACCAGTAATGTATGAGAGTTCCAATTTCTGCATATCAGGTAACATTTGTTATTGATCATCTTCCCATTCCCACCCCAGGTTTATTGAGGTATGTATAATTGACAAATAAATGTCCATCTTTTGAGTATAGCCCAACCTAACAGGTGGGAAGTAGTATCTCATCGTGATTTTTATTTACATCTCCCTAATGACTAACATGCTCATTCCTCATTTGCATGTCTTCTTTGGAGAAATGTCTATTCAAATCCTTTAACCACAATGAGAAATTATTTGTCTTTTCCATTGTTTAGTAGTCAGAGATGTACACTTTGGATAGTAGTGCCTTATTAGCCACATGATTTCCGAATGTTTTCTCTCATTTTGTGGGATGACTTTTCACTTTCACTGCTGTTCTTTGAAGTACTAGCATTTTAAATTTTGAAGTCCAATTTACCTATTTTTTCTTTTTTTATTTGTGCTTTAAGTGTTATATCTAATAAACCATTGCCTAATTTTAAGTCACAAAAATTTTCTACGATGTTTTCTTCTAAGAGTTTTATAATTTTAGCCCTTACTAACTACTAATAAAATTATAAAACAAAATTATGAAACTAGGTTTATAATTTTAGCTCTTTAACTCTGTTTTCAGTTATTTTTATACATAGTCTAGGTACGGGTCCAACTTCACTCTTTTGTAGGTGGATATAAAATTGTCCCAGCATTATTCATTAAAAATAACAGTAAAACTATTCTTTCCCTCCATTGAATTATCTTGACCTTTATTATGTGGTTTTTTCTTTTTCATTTTTGCTTTTTACTTTCTCTTTCTCATTCTACACCTTTAATATATCCCAAATTTTAAAATAAATGTTGACACTTATTTTCCTACCTCCATGTCTAGCATGGGACTATGATATTATAACACTGCAACAAACATGTTCAGTGAATGAAAAGCTGATTGGAGATTCCTAATGTCAAGCAATAAATACCAAATGTCATAGATGCTGAAGGGTGCTGGGGAAGTTTTATATATGAAGCTGATAATCCAGTGAATTTTTCAAACCAAAAGTTTTCAAGGGGGTCCCAGAACTTAATCATCTTAGACTGGAATGGGTCTTGGAGATCATCAACCCTCTCATTTTCCAGTGATGAAAAGCAGTCTTTGAAAGGCTAAATAGCAGCCTATCTTATGTAAAATTGCTATAGGGTCCCAGCTGTCCTTGAAATTACATTCTGACTATTACAAGTTAACAAAGGATTCTTTCAGTTAGTCCTTGATAAAGCATTTTTTTCAGTTCTGATAAAAGTCCTTTCCAGTTGAAAGACAACTGCTTTTGCTTCATACCACATTTATCTTCTGAGATAACTCCGAGATTATTTTTTAAACTCCTCCACCCTAGTGGAACACTTCTTTCTCTTAATTTCTATAGATCCTTCTTGCTCTTCTACGAAATTAGCAATTTATTTGGTATTGTTCTATTGCTCTATTGCTTTAGATTATTATATAATCTTGAATCATTATTTGATTTATCACAGTTTTTTTGTGTGGCCATCCAAGTAGACTACCCCAACTAGACCCTGGGACAGAAATAGAATTTTACAATTTATTACATGACCCACAGAGGCTTGCATCCCACAGATATGCAGCAGACATTTCTTGATACTATTTGTTCATTCAGACAATTCATTTTAAAAATGAGAAACTGTTAACCCTAGGTTTCATTTTGTTCCCCCATCCCATAGAGAAGTAAGGCAGTTGACTCTTGGATCACTCAGGATGACAGCCTCTAGGGGAGAAACATTTTTTCATTTGGAAATTTTCTAGTGACTCACTATTTGCTTTCCTAAAGGAATGGAGAGACCAGAGACCTAAAATTGGTGCATATATGTTTAAGTATTTTTAAACATTACTATTAAAAGTTTTTAAATTATATTAAAATGATTTTTTAAAAAAGATTGGCAGGTCCAGGTGTGGTAGCTCACACCTATAATTCCAGCACTTTGGGAGGCTGAGGCAGGCGGATTACCTGAGGTCAGGAGTTCAAGACCAGCCTGGCCAACATGATAAAACCCTGGCTTTACAGAAAATACAAAAATTAGCTGGGTATGGTGGCATGCACCTGTAATCCCAGCTACTCAGGAGGCTGAGACAGGAGAATCGCTTGAACCTGAGAGGCGGAGGTTGCAGTGAGCTGAGATTGTGCCACTGCACTCCAGTGTAGATGACTGAGAGAGACTCTGTCTCAAAAAAAAAAAAAAAAAAGCAGAATTCTCCCAAGAACTCAGCAAATTAAACTAACTCTTAAGGGAACTCTGAGCTGTAATTTTAAATTGCTGAGTCAGAAAGTAAAGAAAGACATCCTATGTTTCTCTCTCTCTCTCTCTCTTTTTTTTTCCTTTTGAGGCAGGGTCTTGCTCTGTCGCCCAGGCTGGAATACAGTGGTGCTATCATTGTTCCCTGAAGCTTCAACCTCCCATCCTCTAGCTATCCTCCTACCTCAGCCTCCTGAGTAGCTCGGAACGCAGGTGCACCCCACCGTGGCTGGCTGAATGTTTCTCTTTTTATCTCTTTTTTTTTTTTTTTTTAACAAAGTCTTGCTCTGTCGCCCGGGCTGGAGTGCAGTGGCACAATCTCGGCTCACTGCAACTTTCACCTCCCAGGTTCAAGCAATTCTCCTGCCTCAGCCTCCCGAGTAGCTGGGACTACAGGCATGCACCACTGCTCCCGGCAAAATTTTTTTTTTTTTTTTGTATTTTTAGTAGAGATGGGGTTTCATCGTGTTAGCCAGGATGGTCTCAATCTCCTGACCTTGTGATCCGCCTGCCTCAGCCTCCCAAAGTGCTGGGATTACAGGCATAAGCCACCGCGCCCAGCCCCTCTTTTTATCTCAAGTGTGCTTCCTAGTTATGAGATAGGGGAAAGAAATGGAATAATCTAGCCTCCTATTGTAATAATGGAATAATCTAGGCTCCTTGCTGAACGTAAGTAGAATCTCTGGAACTGTTTGAGTTAAAATATAAAATTAAGATTAAATAAAAGGTGGCAGAATGAGACAGGATGAGTATATCATGATATGATGCTCAGTACACTGTCATACATCTGTGGAAATACAATGAACCTATTAACTGATTATGATAAGAACAAATTATTGTGGGTTAAAGTGACACCCTTGTAACAGTGAATCTAGCACATGTTATTAGCATGTTTTTAGACCATGGAAAATACAAAAATAAATAACAAAACTAAAAATGTTGTGAACTTATAAATTTTTTTCTCATCTCCCAGAAATCAGTTCCTGTTTCAAATTTATGCTATTTTGAAATTATGTTAATGAATAAAAAAAATTGAAACAGATGTAAAATCACAGAGTCATTTCACTTCTCTGGACTTCATTTATAAAATAAGGGAGTTAGCCTAGAAGTTTTGCTCCTCAAACTGTAATCAACACATGAGCAACATCATCACGTGAAAATTGGTTTGAGGGCCGGGCACGGTGGCTCACGCCTGTAATCCCAGCACTTTGGGAGGCTGAGGCAGACGGATCACAAGGTCAGGAGATTGAGACCATCCTGGCTAACACACTGAAACCCCATCTCTACTAAAAAATACAAAAAATTAGCCGGGCATGGTGGCAGCGCCTGTAGTCCCAGCTACTGGGGAGGCTGAGGCAGGAGAATGGCATGAACCTGGGAGGCAGAGGTTGCAGTGAGCCGAGATCGCGCCACTGCACTCCAGCCTGGGCGACAGAGCGAGACTCCATCTCAAAAAAAAAAAAAAAAAGAAAAGAAAAGAAAATTGGTTTGAAATGCAGAATCTGGGGCCCAATTCTAGACCATTTAAATCAGAACTTGAAACTTTAACAAAATCCCCACCTAGGTTGGGCATGGTGGCTCACACCTGTAATCCCAGCACTTTGAGAGGCTGAAGGGGGAGGATCACCTGAGGTCAGGAGTTCAAGACCAGCCTGGCCAACATGGTGAAACCCCATCTCTACTAAAAATACAGAAATTAGCTGGGCGTGGTGGCAGGTGCCTGTAATCCTAGATATTTTTTTGAGGCTGAGACAGGAGAATCGCTTTAAGCCAGGAGGCGGAGGTTGCAGTGAGCCGAGATTGTGCCACTGCACTCCAGCCTGTGTGACAGAGTGAGACTCCATCTAAAAAAGAAAGAAAGAAAGAAAGAAAAAATCCCCACCTTATTTGTATGTATACTGAAATATGAGAGGACTAACAAAGACAACATAGAGTAATTTCCAGCTAGTCGTATCTACCATTCCATGATTCTGACTGAAAGATTTCAAGTTACATAAAATGAGAGTCACTTACCTAAAAGTTGTGTTTGACTTGAGGACACAGACTACTCAGCAGGCTGAACTAACTTTCCAGGTCACAGCTTTAAATTAACAAGGGAAGCAGAAAATAAAGACTTGCTCTGCTTGTTGTTGCTGGGTTCCCTCTTATCACACTAAGATTCATTTTAATACTCAAGTGTATATAAACCATAGGCTCATATTTGTTGAGTTCCTACAGTTTTCTATGTGCCAAAAAGAACTTCAAAGGTAAGTTTCCTGCCTCCTGCTTGAGGCATCTAATGACAGTGGGAGCTTTGCTTTAAAAGGCTCAGTGTATGGAGCCCTGGGATGATTTAATTATAGGGGGCTTCCTAATTTGTTATTCTTATCCAGAATAGGAAGCCATTCAATTCAGTAAAATACCTCCTGCTTGAGTCATGGGGTGAAAAGCACAGGGTGCAGGTGAACTAAAGCAGCTTTATCTCTAGAGTGCTATTCCCATTGACATTGTATACGTGATTAGGCAGCCAGAAAATCATCATAGACTATGAACTCTGCTTTCCCCCTGATTTATCTGTGGCCCAAAATAGGATATAGTTTAGTTTAATTCAAGGTCAGCAGAAATTCAATATGAAAACACTTGAGTCCATTAGGAAATAGGCGGAAGTGGTGGAGAAAATGAGCTAGTCTTCTGTGTGGGGGGAGCAGTTAGCAACTTTGTTGGGGGGAGGCGTTTACCCTAGAGGCTGTGGGAGAGAACTCAATAATTGAAGGAGGCCATTGTGGAGGTGGGTGAGGGGCTGTAGCAGGGATACTATTAAAATAGGTTTATAACTTCTTTCTCTCTTTTTTTTTTTTTTTTTTTTTTTTGAGCCAGGGTCTCATTCTGTCTCCCAGGCTGGAGTGCAGTGATCCAATCTCAGCTCACTGCAACCTCCGCCTCTGCAGCTCAAGCGATCCTCCCACCTCAGCCTCCCCAGGGGGACGACAGGGAGGGACTGGGACTACAGGCGCGTGCCACCACGCTTGGCTAATGTTTTTTTTTGTTTTTGTTTTTTTTTTTGAGACAGAGTCTCACTCTGTTGCCAGGCTGGAGTACAGTGGCGCCATCTCACCTCACTACAGCCTCCGCCACCCAGGCTCAAGCGATTCTCATGCCTCATTCTTCCAAGTAGCTGGGACTACAGGTGGGAGCCACCATCCTCGGCTAATTTTTCCATTTTTTGTAGAGACGGAGTTTCACCATATTGTCCAGGCTAGTAATGTTTTTTGTTTGTTTGTTTTTGTTTTTTACTTTTTTTTTTTTTGTAGAGATGAGGTCTCACCATATTGCCCAGGCTGGTCTCAAATTCTTAGGCTCCTTCTGCCTGGGCCTCCCAAAGTGCTGGGATTACAGGTGTGAGCCACCAACCCTGGACTAGGTTTACATTTTCAATTGAATGTGCCACCCTCAAAAACAGGTCTGCCTTTTTAAATTGGAGGGTGGCTTACATGTTATGGTTGATTGTTGTCAGTGACAGTGTACTTGGTGCAAACTCTTTCAACATGTCATTTTATTAGTCTACTTTGCCTTTTAGTCTAGCCAGACACAAGTGGGTTCTCAAAGAAAAGAAGAAGAGTTCTCAAAGAAGATGAAGTAGACTTATGTGCTGTTGCAATTTATAATTTACTGACACATAGCTGGCACTATTTTGCATTTTTTCTCTTCACTAGCATGTGACCTGACATCACATCTGGATTGTAACTTTCTTGAAAAAATGGAGAGGGCATAGTGCTTGACACCAGTTAACCCTGTAAGAGTCAATTATCTTGAGGTTTCTTAGACTTCTTTGAGTAGTCAGTGGCTTTCATTAAATGAGTGTTCCATAATTCTTTTTTTTAACTGTTGACTCCTCCGGTTAATGGAACTCCCCATCTGTGGTTCATTAAAACAAATCTCTTCTTTCACTTGCTTTTTTGTATTAACATTGTCCTACTTTTTTTTTTTTTTTTTGAGACAGAGTTTCGCTCTTGTTGCCCAGGCTAGAGTGTAATGGCGCGGTCTTGGCTCACTGCAAACTCCACCCCCCGGGGTTCAAGCGATTCTCCGGCCTCAGCCTCCTGAGTAGCTGGGATTACAGGCACCTCCCACCACATCCAGCTAATTTTTTTGTAGTTTTGGTAGAGACAGGGTTTCACCATGTTGGTGGGGCTGGTCTCAACCTTCTCACCTCATGTAATCCACCCACTTGGCCTCCCAAAGTGCTGGGATTACAGGCGTGAGCCACTGCACCCAGCCTGTCCTACTTTACATTTTAAGAATTAAGCAATTAATCCAACCTCAGGAAATCCTTATTAAATAAAGAATGTCATTACCCTTGTCTTACAGATAAGGAAAATGTACCAAAGTGGTATTGTTCAGTGTCAACAGATGTTATTCAACACCTACTGTGTGCTAGGTACAGGGGGCAGAGAGATGAACAAATGACAGTTTCAGCTTTGTAGACGTGCCCACAAGAAAGTAAAGTACAGGCTGGGCACGGCGGCTCACGCCTGTAATCCCAGCTCTTTGGGAGGCTGAGGCGGGCAGATCACCAGGTCAGGAAATCAAGACCAGTCTGGCCAACATGGTGAAACCCCATCTCTACTAAAAATACAAAAATCAGCTGGGTGTGGTGGCGGGTGCCTGTAATCCCAGCTACTTGGGAGGCTGAGACAAGATAATCACTTGAACCCGGGAGGCGGAGGTTGCAGTGAGCTGAGATCACGCCATTGCACTCCAGCCTGGGCAGTAAGAGTGAAACTCCATCTCGAAAACAAAAAGAAAAGAAAGTACTATGATACTCTGCAATATGTACTGTAACTGATGTATAAACAGATCACAGAGCAGGAGTATAGAGGAAGAGAAGGAGTGAAGATAATGGACACCTAACAGCCTGGGTGCAAAGGTTAGTTTGTGAATAGTCCCTAGAGAAGGAAAGTGAAAGTCAGGCAAGGATAGTGGGGATTGAGTTAGGGTGGGCATTTCAGGATAACCAGTGGGTCCTCTGTATATAGAGACGGGGATATGTGTCACTGGCATCAATAAATGAGCTCCCCTTTCTGTGATTATCAGGGAACATATGACATTAATTAATTTTTTATATTACTTTAAATTCAAAGTAAAGGGCCGGGCATAGTGGCTCATGCCTGTAATCCCAGCACTTTGTGAGGCCGAGGCCAGGTGGATCACCTGAGGTCAGAAGTTTGAGACCAGCCTGGCCAACATGCTGAAACCCCATCTCTAATAAAAATACGAAACTTAGCAAAGCGTGGGGATGCTGTGCCTGTAGTTCCAGTTACTCAGGAGGTGAGGCAGGAGAATCACTTGAACCTGGGAGACGGAGGTTGCAGGGAGCCGAGATGGTGCCACTGCACTCCAGCCTGGGCAACAGAGCAAGACTCCGTCTCAAAAATAAATAAATAAATAAATAAATTCGAAGTAAAACAATTACATTTCAAAGGCAAAACAGATAAGGTTCAAACTGCTATATGTCATCATCTGTAGTGTGAGTGAGATTGAGTAACTATAATGTAAAAAAGTCCATAAAAAGTACTCCCCTATAATGTAAAAAAGTACTCCCTATAATGTAAAAAAGGACTGAAGGGAGTACTCAGAGATGGCTTACAGATAAAGTTGGCAACATCAGTGGACTGGTGAAGGGGATAGAATAAGGGAAAAAAGGAGGCAAAGAAGTCATGGGGACATGTGTTTGTTTGCTGTCTATGCTAACTCAGTGAGATTAATTAAGAGAAAAAAAGCGAAATTCTCTCATGAACCTCAGCTGTCAAAACTCCAATAAGAAGTTTTGGTCATTTCTGGGCACAGCTTCTGCCCTGAAGCTTAAGTTAAACAGTTAATATGATACAGTCATATGCTTTATAATGATGTTTTGGTCAGTGATGGACTGCATACAGGTCAGTGGTCCCATAGCTGAAAATTCCTGTTGCCTAGTGATGCCATAGTCATCCTAACATTATAGTGCAATGAATTACCTTTTTAATGTTTAGGTATGTTTAGATATACAAAAATATTTGCCATTGTCTTACAGTTGCATACAGCATTCACTATAGTAACATACTGTATAGATATGTAACCTAAAAGCAATAGGCTATATCATTTAGTCTAGGTGTACAGGAGGATGTACTATCTAGGTTTCTGTAAGTACACTCTACGCACAATATTCACCAGATGATGAAATCACCTAACGACAAGTTTCTCAGAACATATTCCTGTTATTAAGCAATGCATGATTGCATTAAGACATGATTGGCCGGGCACAGTGGCTAATGCCTGTAATCCCGGTACTTTGGGAGGCTGAGGCAGGCAGATCACCTGAGGTCGGGAGTTCAAGACCAGCGTGACCAACAAGGAGAAACCCTGTCTCTACTAAAAATACAAATTAGCCAGGCACTGTGGTGCATGCCTGTAATCCCAGCTACTTGGGAGGCTGAGGCAGAAGAATCACTTGAACCCAGGAGGCGGAGGTTGCGGTGAGTCGAGATCACACCATTGCACTCCAGCCTGGGCAACAACAGCAAAACTCCATCTCAAAAACAAAACAATACAAAAACAAATGATCACTGGCCGGGCTCCCTAGCTCGTGCCTCTAATCCCAGCACTTTGGGAGGCCGAGGCAGGTGGATCACTTGAGGTCAGCTGTTCAAGACCAGCCTGGCCAACATGGTGAAACCCCATCTCTACTAAAAATATCAAAATTAGCCAGGCATGGTGGCGGGCACCTGTAATCCCAGTTACTCAGGAGGCTGAGTCAGGGGAAACGCTTGAACCCAGGAGGCGGAGGTTGCAGTGAGCTGAGATGGCGCCACTGCACACCAGCCTGGGTGACACAGTGAGATTCTGTCTAAAAATAAATAAATAAATAAATAAATAAAAATAAATCACACAGGACCTGTGTCTATTGCTTCTTTTCTCATTCACCATTCTCCAACTAGGTTATTTCTTTGCTCCACATTAGGACAACCACTCTGATGACTATAAAATGAGAATCTTGGCCAAAATATTTAAAATCTCTTAAGCCTATGGGATTAATGAACATCAATAAATGAGTTTTCTCCTATTAAAGGTATCACAGTGAGCAACGGCAAGAATAATTTAGCCAAGCGCCCAATGCTTATCTCCACAAGATCACAAAATCACTTCAAATAATGAAGACTTCTAGTTAAATACTTTTCTCTCCTTTTTATGACATTATCACATGCTCTGTGTAACCGCTGAAAAATGCTGGGTTAAGGGTGACAGGCTTCTGTGAAGTTGAGGGTTTAAGTAAGCACCATTTTAAGTACAGCAGAAATAAAATGGGCTGTGAGGCTTGTTCACAATGTCTACCATTGGCTTCCCATTTTATATCATTTGATTCTCAGTTAAGAAACAGTCATCAAATTTTAAAGATGATATAAGGAACATAGCAAACACATTTTTATATTTGATCCTTGCTGCCTGGTATACTGGTAAAGCTAATTAAGACTGAATATACAGGTCTACCTATTCTGATTAGCTATTTTCTTGGTAAAACAGCTGAATTTGTAGAAAGGAAACCAAATTTCCTGAAGATATGATTAATCTTATGCAAGTTTCCTTTTTTTTTTTTTTTTATTGTTTTGAGACGGAGTCTCGCTCTGTCGCCCAGGCTGGAGTGCAGTGGCGCAATCTAGGCTCACTGCAAGCTCCGCCTCCCGGGTTCGCCATTCTCTTGCCTCAGCCTCCCAAGTAGCTGGGACTACAGGCGCCCGCCACCATGCCCAACTAATTTTTTGTATTTTTAGTAGAGGCAGGGTTTCACCGTGTTAGCCAGGATGGTCTTGATCTTCTGACCTCTTGATCCACCTGCCTTGGGCTCCCAAAGTGCTGGGATTACAGGCGTGAGCCACCGCACCCGGCCTGCAAGGTTCCTTTTATACCCTTTTACTCAATCCTGTTTTCTTTAAGCTAAAGAGATGGCTCAAGAGTTTCCAGTATTTTGTTACCAAAAATGACATAATTTCTGTGCCCTGATCATCTTGTATGCATAATTCTTTCTGCCTTGTATCTATTTTAACTATATCATATTGACTTTAAAAATTAATGTCAGAGCACTTCCAGAATGAAGACATGATGAACTCACTAGACATTTTCCCCAGTAAAATAATCATAACTTGTGAAAATTATAAATAAACAATGACTGTTGGATCAGTCTGTGGAGTAATTTATGCCACAGGACAATGTCAAAACCACTGGAGCAATCAGCTAGTAATTAGTAGAGGCTAACAGCTGGGAGTGATATTAACAAAGATAAACCATCCAAAAACTTGACAGGGAGATGAGGAAAAAAGTCAAAGAGAACCTGGTTAAAACCACTGTTGGTGGAGCGCGGTGGCTCACGCCTGTAATCCCAGCACTTTGGGAGGCTGAGGCGGGTGGATCACGAGGTCAGAAGATCGAGACCATCCTGGTTAACACGGTGAAACCCCGTCTCTACTAAAAATACAAAAAATTAGCCGGGTGTGGCGGCGGGCGCCTGTAGTCCCAGCTACTCAGGAGGCTGAGGCAAGAGAATGGCGTGAACCTGGGAGATGGAGCTTGCAGTAAGCCAAGATCACGCCACTGCACTCCATCCAGCCTGGGCGAAAGAGCAAGACTCCATCAAAAAAAAAAAAAAAAAAAACTGTCATCCCTGAGGAAGGAGGAGGAGAGAGTCAGGATAACAGTGTGCATTGCAAAACTGCACTTTTCTGAGGAGCACCATCAGAGGCTGCACACTGTGAGGGACATAGACTCTGCTGAACTAGTCTAGCCAAGTCACTAAACAAATAAACAAGCAAACAACAACAAAGACAACAAGCCCTGGAGACAGGGGTCAGTATCCAGAGTTACTGCAATGGAAATGTACAGTGTACAACAAAAAAATTACAAGACATACAAAGAAACAGGAAAGTGTGACCCATTCACACAGAAACTGCCTTGAGAGGACACAGATATTGGGTCTAGCAGATAAGGACTTCAAAGTAGTTATTATAAATACATTCAAAGAACTAAAGAAAACTATGCCTTAAAAATTAAAGAAAGGGGCTGGGCATGGTGGCTCACACCTGTAATCCTAGCACTTTGGAAGGTCAATGCGGGTGGATCATGAGGTCAAGAGTTTGAGACCAGCCTGGCCAAGATGGTGAAACCCCGTCTCTACTAAAACATACAAAAATTAGTCAGGCGGGGTGGTGGGCACCTGTGATCCCAGCTACTCGGGAGGCTGAGGCAGGAGAATCACTTGAACTCCGGAGACAGAGGTTGCAGTGAGCTGAGATCACATCACTGCACTCCAGCCTGGGCAACAGAGCAAGACTCCATCTTAAATAAATAAATAAAAATTAAAGAAAGGTATGATGAAAATGTTTTATCAAATGGAGAATATTGATAAAGAGAAAGTTTAAAACAAAAAACAAATATAAAATCTAGAGTTGAAAAGTACGGAAATAAAAAATTTGGCTGTGTGTGGTGGCTCATGCCTGTAATCCCAACACTTTGGGAGGCCAAGGCTGGTGGACCACCTGAGGTCAGGAGTTCGAGACCAGCCTGGACAACATGGTGAAACCCTGTTTCTACTAAACATACAAAAATTAGCTGGACGTGGTGGCAGACGCCTGTAATTCCAGCTACTTGGGAGGCTGAGGCAGGAGAATCGCCTGAACCCAGGAGGAGGAGGTTGCAGTGAGCCGAGATTGTGCCACTGCACTCCAGCCTAGGTGACAAGAGCAAAACTCTGTATCAAAAAAAAAAATTCACTATAGGGGCTCAATATGAGATTTGAACTAGCAGAAGACATAATCAGTGAATATATTCTGAAGAACAGAGAGGGAAAAAGGAGGAAAAAAATGAACAGTACATCAAGGAAATGTGGGACACCATTATGTGCACCAACATATGCATAAAGGGATACCAGAAGGATAGAAGAGAAAAAGAAACAAAAAATATCTGAAGAAATGATAGCTGAAAACTTCCCAAATTTGATGAAAAAGTTTAATGTAAACCAACATCTAAGGAACTCAGCAAACACTTAAGTAGGATAAATGCAAAGACATATAAACACAGACATTTCAAGAGCAAAATGTTGAAAAACAAAGAGAATCTTGAAGTCAGCAAGAGAAACATGGCTCATGTACAAGGGAACCCTAATAAGATTAATAGCTGACTTCTCATCAGAAACATTGGAGGCCGGAAAGCAGTGGTATGACATATTTCAAAGTGCTGAAAGAAAAAAACATGACCAAGAATCTTGTATTCAGCAAAACTATCTTTTTATTTATTTTTATTTTTTATTTATTTATTTTTTTAGAGATGGAGTCTTGCTCTGTCACCCAGGCTGGAGTGCAGTGGTGCGATCTCAGCTCACTGCAAGCTCCACCTCCTGGGTTCAAGCGATTCTCCTGCCTCAGCCTCCTGAGTAGCTGGGACTACAGGTGCACGTCGCCACGCCTGGCTAATTTTTTGTATTTTTTTTTTTTTAAGTAGAGACGGGCTTTCACTGTGTTGCCCAGGCTAGTCTTGAACTCCTGAGCTCAGGCAATTCACCCACCTCGGCCTCTCAGAGTGCTACGATTACAGGCATGAGCCACCATGCCCAGCCCAGCAAAACTATATTTTTAAAATGGAGATGAAATTAAGACATCTCCAGATAAGCAACAACTGAGAGAACTTGCTGTGAGCCGAAACGCCTTATAAGAACATGAAAGGAAGTTCTCCAAGCTGAAAGCAAGTTATCCCAGATGGTAAATCAAATCTACATGGAAAAAGAAAAAAAAATGATAAAAGTAATTATGTAAATAATTATAAGAGTGTGTATAATTACATATTTTTTCTCCTTTCTTTCCTTAACTCATTCAATTGTATGAATATAATTGTATTTTTGGATCTGTAACATATAGGTATGTGATATATTTGACAATAACTTCACAGAGAAGGTAGGTAGGAATAAAGCTGTACTGAAGTAAGGAAATAATACCAGATGGTAACCAATCTACAAAAAGAAATGAAGAGAACTGGAAATGGTGAATAAAAAGGTTAACATAACAGGCTTTATAAATATATGCTTGCTTTCTTGTCTTGTCTTAGCTTCTTTCAAATACATAAAATTACATAAATAATTATAACAACTGGTTTGTAACATACATATGTAATATATATTACAAAAATATTAGCAATATGGGAGGGAGGAATAATTATATAGAAGTAATGTTTCTATATCTCATTGGGATTAATTAGCATACATTTGAGGTAGATCCTGATACGTTTAAAAAGTATAATCTAGGGCCGGCGCGGTGGCTCGCGCCTGTAATCCCAGCACCTCGGGAGGCTAGGTGGGCGGATCACGAGGTCAGGAGATCGAGACCATCCTGGCTAACACAGTGAAACCCAATCTCTACTAAAAAATACAAAAAATTAGCCGGGCGTGGTGGTGGGCACCTGTAGTCCCAGCTACTCGGGAGGCTGAAGCAGGAGAATGGCATGAACCTGGGAGGTGGAAGTTGCAGTGAGCCGAGATCGTGCCACTGCACTCCAGCCTGGGCAACAGAGCAAGACTCTGTCTAAAAAAAAAAAAAAAAAAAAAAAAAAAAAAAAGTATAATCTAAGCCCTAGAGCAGTTACTAAGAAAATAACTCAAAATATGTATATTCAGAAAGTCATTGAAGGTATTAAAATCATCCACCAGAAAATATTCACTTAATGCAAAGGGAAGCAGTACAGAGTAACAGAGGAACAAAAAACACATGAGACATAGAAAACAAAGAGTAAAATGGTAGATGAAATTCCAGTCACATAAATAACATAAAAATTAAATGAATTAAATAACTTTTTTTTTTTTAAGATGGAGTTTCGCTCTTATCGCCCAGGCTGGAATGCAATGGTGCAGTCTCGGCTCACTGCAACCTCTGCCTCCCAGGTTCAAGTGATTCTCCTGCCTCAGCCTCCTGAGTAGCTGGGATTACAGGTGGCTGCCACCACACCAGGCTGATTTTTGTATTTTTAGTAGAGGGGTTTCACCATATTGGCCAAGCTGGTCTCGAACTCCTGACCTCAGGTGATCCCCCCCGCCTTGGCCTCCCAAAGTGCTGGGATTACAGGTGTGAGCCACTGCACTCAGCCAAATAACTTTTTTTGTTTGTTTGTTTATTTGTTTTTTTGAGACAGGGTCTCACTCGGTCGCCCAGACCGGAGTGCAGTGGCGTGATCTCGGCTCGCCGCAAACTCTGCCTCCCAGGTTCAAGTGATTCTCTTGCCTCAGCCTCCCGAGTAGCTGGGATTACAGGCATATGCCACCACGCCCGACTAATCTTTGTATTTTTAGTAGAGACGGGGTTTCTCCATGTTGGCCAGGCTGGTCTTGAACTCCTGACCTGAAATGATCCACCCGCCTCAACCTCCCAAAGTGCTGGGATTACAGGCATGAACCACCACACTTGGCCAAATTAAATAACTTAATCAAAGATGGAGATTGTCAGACTGGATAACAAAACAAGTTCCAACTATGTGATATTATATATACAGGATATACACTTTAGATTTAAAGACGCAAACAGATGGTAAGTTAAAAAAATTTTTTTAAAGATATACCGTCTGGGTGCAGTGGCTCACATGTGTAATCCCAGCACTTTGAGAGGCTAAGGCAGGTGCATCACCTGAGGTCAGGAGTTTGAGACCACCCTGGCCAACATGGCGAAACCCCGGCTCTACTACATATACAAAAATTAACCAGGCATGGTGGTGCGTGCCTGTAATCCTAGCTACTCAGGAGGCTAAGGCAGGAGAATCGCATGAACCCAGGAGGTGGAGGTTGCAGTGAGCCGAGATCATGCCATTGCACTCCAGCCTGGGCAACAGAATGAGACTCCATCTCAAAAAAAAAAAAAAAAAAAGATATGCCATCTAAACAGCAATCTTAAGGGAGTTGCAATGTCTATATTACTATCAGAAAAGATAGACTTTAAAACAAAAAATGTTAGCTAGGTATGGTGGAATGCACCTGTAGTCCCCACTACTCAGGAGGCTGTGGTGGGAGGATTGCTTGAGTCAAGAAGTTCAAGACTGTAGTGTGCTATGAGTGCATCTGTGACTAGCCACTGCACTCCAGCCTAAGCATCATAGTGAGACCCCATCTCTAAATAAAATAAAAACAAAAAAGACAGAAAGATTACTAGAAATAAATTGGGACATTTTATAAGGAAAAAAGGGTTAATTCCAAAGTATTAATATATAACAGTCAAAAACACATATGCCCCTAACAGCACAGCCCTAAAATAAATGAAACAAAACTAACAGAATTGAAAGGAGAAATAGACTCTTCAACAATTATGGTTGGATACTGCAATATCCTACTTTCAATACTAAATAGTATGACTAGGCAGTAGGCCAACTAAGATATAGAAGACTTGAACAACAAGATAAACTACATTTATTAATAACAGATATCTGTAGAAAACTCTACCTATTAACAACTGAATACACATTCTTCTCAATTGCATGTGGAACATTCTCCCAGAAGACCATATGCTAGACATAAAATAAGGTTCAATAAAGTTAAAATAATTGAAATTATACAAAGCATGTCCTCCGAGCACAACACAATGAAATTAGACATTGATAACAGAAGGAAACTTGGGATATTCAAAAATATGTGCATATTAAGCAACACACTTATAAAAAGACAAAATCACAAGGGAAAATGGAAAATACTAAGAAATGGATGAAAATGCAAAAACAGCATACCAAAATTTATGAGATGCAACTAAAGAAGTGTTTGGAGTATTTCTTTTGATAGCTATAAACACCTATATTAAAACAGAAGAAAGATCTCAAATCAGTAACTTAAACTTCCATCCTAATAAACTGGAAAAAGAAGGACAAAGTAAACCTAAAGCAACAAGAAGTAAATAAATAACAATGATTAGAGCAAAAATTAATAAAATAGAGAACAGAAAATAATAGAGAAAAATCAACAAAACCAAAAATTGGTCTTTGAAAGATCAACAAAGTTGATAAATTTTAACTCACCAAGAAAAAAAAGAAGACCAAATTACTAAAATCAGGAAAGAGGGAACATAACTACCAACTTCACAGAAATAAAAAGAATTCTTAAGAATTATTAAATTCTAATATTAAAGAATACTATAAACAATTATATGTGAAGAAATTAATAAATGAAATGGGCCAATTCCTAGAAAGATACAATCTACCAAAACTGACTCAAGAAAAAAATAGAAAATCTGAATAAACCTATAACAAAAAAAGCAATTGAATCAGTAACTTATTATTATTATTTTTTTGAGACAGGCTTTCGTTCTGTCTCCAAGGCTGGAGTACAGTGGTGTGATCACAGCTTACTGCACCCTTGACTGCCTGGGTTCAAGAGATCCTCCAGCCTCAGCCTGCTGAGTAGCTGGGACCACAGGCAGGTGCCACCACACCTGCTAATTGTTTAAATTATTAGTAGAGATGAGGTCACATTATATTATCTAAGATGGTCTTCAACTTCTGGGCGTAAGCCATCCTCCCACTTCAGCCTCCCGAAGTGTTTAAGATCTTCTTTTTTATTTTTTATTTTTTGAGACGGAGTCTTGCTCTGTTGCCAGGCTGCAGTGCAGTGGCACGATCTCGGCTCACTGCAACCTCTGCCTCCTGGGTTCAAGCGATTCCCCTGCCTCAGCCTACAGAGTAGCTGGGACTACAGGTGTGCGCCACCACACCTGGCTAATTTTTTTGTATTTTAGTAGAGACGAGTTTTCACCATGTTGGCCAGGATGGTCTTGATATCCTGACCTCGAGATCTGCCTGCCTCAGCTTCCCAAAGTGCTGGGATTACAGGCATGAGCCACTGGGCCTGGCCAAGATCTTCTTAACAAAGAAAAGTGAGAACTGGATGGCTTCACTAGTGAATTTTCTTAAAAATTCAAATAAGAATTAATACTAATTCTTCACAAACTATTCCAAATAACGTAAGAAGAGGGATTACTTTCCAACTAATTCTATAAGGATAGTTACCCTGATAACCAAAACCAAAGTCATCACAAGAAAAACAGAAGCTACAGAACAATAACCAGTATCTGTTATGAGTATAGAGGTAAAATTTCTCAACAAAATATTAGGAAACTGAATCCAGCAACATATGAAAAAATTATACACTATAACAAAATGGAATTTGTTCCAGGAATGCAAGGTTGGCTTATCTCCAAAAATCAATTAATGTAACACACCATATCACACAATAAGAAACAAAACCACATGATTATCTCAATGGACATAGGAAAAACACTTAACAAAACTCAACACCCTTTCATAATAAAAACAGCAAACTAGGAATAGACTGACGCTCAATGTGATAAAGGACACACACAAAAAACCTAGAGCAATCATCATAACACTTAATGGTGAAAGACTAAAAGCTATGCACGTAAGACTGGGAACAAGACAAGAATGTCCACACTTCTTCTATTTACTTATTTTTTTTTGAGACAGGGTCTCACTCTGTTGCTCAGGCTGGAGTGCAGTGGCACAATCTTGGCTCAATGCAACCTCCACCTCCTAGTCTCAAGCATTCCTTCCACCTCAGCCTCCTGAGTAGCTGAGACTACAGGCATCTACCACCATAACTGGCTAATTTGTTTTTATTTTTATTATTTATTTTTATTTTTATTATTATATTTTTGAGACGGAGTCTCGCTGTGTCGCCCAGGCTGGGGTGCAGTGGCGCGATCTGAGCTCACTGCAAGCTCCGCCTCCCGGGTTCATGCCATTCTCCTGCCTCAGCCTCCCGAGTAGCTGGGACTACAGGTGCCCGCCACCACGCCTGGCTAATTTTTTGTATTTTAGTAGAGACAGGGTTTCACCGCGATAGCCAATATGGTCTCGATCTCCTGACCTCATGATCCACCTGCCTCGGCCTCCCAAAGTGCTGGGATTACAGGCGTGAGCCACCGCACCTGGCCTTGTTTTTATTTTTAATAGAGGTGGGGTTTCACTATGTTATCCAGGCTGGTCTCAAACTCCTAGGCTCAAGTGATCCACCTGCCTTGGCCTCCCAAAGTGCTGGGATTACAGGCATGAGCTACTGCACCCAGCCTCTTCTTCTATTTATCTTGGTACTGGAGGTTCTAGCCAATATGATCAGGTAACAAAAAGAAATAAAAGGCATCCAGATTGAAGAGGATAATATAAATCTAACTGTATTTTATTTTATTTTATTTTTTTTGAGACAGAGTCTCGCTCTGTTGCCCAGGCTGGAGTGCAGTGGTGCGATCTCGGCTCACTGCAAGCTCTGCCTCCTGGGTTCACGCCATTCTCCTGCCTCAGCCTCCTGAGTAGCTGGGACTACAGGTGCCCACCACCACACCTGGATAATTTTTTGTATTTTTTTTAGTAGAGACGGGGTTTCACTGCGTTGGCCAGGATGGTCTCCAACTCCTGACCTCGTGATCCGCCCGCCTCAGCCTCCCAAGGTGCTGGGATTACAGGCATGAGCCACCACACCTGGCCTCATTTTATTTGTTTTTTAATCTGTATTTTAAAATGACAGTCTTGGCTGGTCACAGTGGCTCACGCCTGTAATCCCAGCACTTTGGGAGGCCGAGGCGGGTGGATCACGAGGTCAGGAGATTGAGACCATCCTGGCTAACACAGTGAAACCCTGTCTCTACTAAAAATACAAAAAATTAGCTGGGCATGGTGGCGAGTGCCTGTAGTCCCAGCTACTCAGGAGGCTGAGGCAGGAGACTGGCATGAGCCCAGGAGGCGGAGCTTGCAGTCAGCCCAGATCGTGCCACTGCACTCCAGCCTGGGCAACAGAGCGAGACTCCATCTCAAAAAAAAAAAAAAAAAAAATGACAGTCTTATATGCAGGAAATCCTAAGGAATTCACCTAATAAACAAGTTCTGCAATACAATATCAACAATATGCAAAAATCAACTGCATTTCTCTATAGTAGAAGTGAATAATTCAAAAAGGAAACTAAGAAAACAATTTGTTTACAATAGCATTATAAAGAATAAAATATTTAAGAGTAAAAGAAGTGCAAAATGTATACTCTGAAAATGAGAAAGCAATTGAAGCTGCCTAAATAAATGAAAAGTTATCCCATGTTCATGGATTGGAAGGTTTAATACTGTTAACATGACAAAAACCACACAAACTGATTCACAGATTCAAGGCAATCGTTATCAAAATCTCAGCTGGCTTTCTTAAAGAAATTGACAAGTTGATCCTAAAATTCACATGAAAATGTAAGGGATCCAGAATAGCCAAGACACTCTTGAAAAAAAAAAAAGTTGTAAGACTCACACTTCCTTGTTTTAAAAGTTACTAAAAAACTACAGTAATGAAGACACTGTGATTATTGTCAAAGGATAGACAAATCAATCAATAGAATAGAATTTAAAATCCAGGAATAAACCCTTAAATTTTGGTCATTTGATTTTTGACAATTGTGCAAACAATTAAATGGGAGAAAAATAGTCTTTTCAACAAATGATGGTGGGATAACTGAATATCCACATGCAAAGAAATCAATTTGGACCACTTACATTAGACACAAAAATTAACCCAAAATGGATCATAAGCTAAAAAGTAAGAGTTTAAACTATAAAACTTCTAGAAGGAAATATAGGTGTAAATCTTCATGATCTTAGATTACACAAAGCCCTCTTAGACATGACACTAAAAACATATATAACATATAGTCTGGCACACAGTAAAACAAACAAAAACCATACGTGACAACAACAAAATAAATTAGACCTCGTGAAAATTAAAAATTTTTATGCTGCAAATAATACCATCAAAAATATGAAAAGATTAAAAAAATGAAAAGATAATGCACAGAGTGGGAGAAAATATTTGCAAATAATCTAATAAGAGATGTATTTCCAGAATATATAAAGAGCTCTGGCCAGGCATGGTGGCTCACACCTATAATCTTAGCACTTTGGGAAGTCAAGGTGGGAAGATCACTTGAGCCCAGGAGTTGAAGATCAGCCTTGACATTATAGGAAGACCTAGTCTCTACAAAAACGAGAAAAACAAATTAGCTGGGTGTGGTGGCATATGCCTATGGGCCTAGCTACTCAGTAGGCTGAAGTGGAAGGATCGCTTGAGCCCAGGAGTTGGAGAGCTGTGATCATGCCATGCACTCCAGTCTGTGCAACAGAGCAAGATCTTGTCTTGAAGAAAAAAAAAAGAAAAGAGAGAACTCTTACAACTCAATGAAAAAAGACAACCCAATTTAAAAATGATTAAAGGATCTGAATAGATAGTTCTCCAAGAAGATATATAAATGGCCAATAAAAACACGAAAACATACCCAACATCATTAGTCATTAGGGAGATGTACATCAAAACTGTAATGAGATACCACTTCACAACCACTAGGATGGTTATGATAAAGAAGATGGGAAAAAAACCAAGTATTGGCAAGGACATTAAAAAAAACTGAAACCTTCACTGGGTATGGTGGCTTACACCTGTAATCTCAGCACTTTGGGAGGCTGAGGCAGGCAGATGGCTTCAGTCCAGGAGATTGAGACCAGCCTGGACAACATGGCAAAACCCCGGCGCTACAAAAAACACAAAATTTAGCAGGGTGTGGTGGCACATGCCTGTAGTCCCAGCTACTAGCGATGTTCAGAATAGAAAAACTCATAGCAACAGAAAATATATTATTGGTTGCCAGAGGTTGAGGAGAGTGGGGAGTAACTGCTAATGGATATGCAGTTACTTTCAGGGTGCTGAAAATACTCTGGATTTAGGTAGAGGTGATGGTTGCAAAACTTTGTGAAGATACTTAAAACTATCAAATTTTACACTTTAAATGAGTAAGTTGTATGGCATGTGAATTATCTTTTTTTAAAAAAATGAGACGGGATCTCACTGTGCATTGTGTTGCCCAGGGACGGAGTCTCGCTGGAGTGCAGTGGTGCAGTCTCAGAGGCTCACAGCAACCTCTGCCTCCTGGGTTTAAGCGATTCTCGTGCCTCAGCCTCCGGAGT